>NC_000006.12:6575151-6726666 GCF_000001405.40 Homo sapiens
TTCTCACAAAAGAATGAAGAGCACCAAAAATGGTAAACGTAGGTAAATATGAAATCATTTTTTTCCTCATTTGTTTTTTTTTTTAAAGGCAATTGATTGTGTTGAGTAGTATGCCATGCATCATGGCCATCTACGCAAGTTCTTGCGGCATGTGCCAGATTTCAAAGTTTATCTGTCTCCTGATAAGCAGCAATTTCTGTAGCTAATCATGAAGGTGACTAAGTAGCAAGGTAATGACAGTGTAAATACTAGGAAACTACTCCCTTTCTAACGGTAGGAAGACTGGCCTGTTAGCTGCTTTCTGCAATGTTTACTGCTTGTTCAAAACATGCTAGGCACTAGACCCTGAGTTCCTTAGCTTCATCACAAACCCTCTGCTTGTGTAGTATCTATCTGGGCCCATCACATCGCCCATGTGGAACTTAGGGGAAAGAGGAGTCAATGCAAATACTCTGATGCTCATGCTGCTCATTGTTCTTTGAGTAATAAAGTCCTTGGACCCAGGAGTCTCATGTCTCTTGTCAACATCCCTCAAACAGCAACAGGGTACCTATTAGCTTGCAAGTGGGATGAAGTCTCTAAAACTTCACAGTTCTTAATAACTAGTTAAGAAAAAAAATAGTGACAATGTACTGGGAGATTTACAACATATATAGAAGTTAAATACACGCAATAGAATAAGAAATTGGAGTGGTTAAGTGGAAATGTATAATTGCAAGTTTCTTATATTATTGTATTATATTCTAATTATTCTAATAAATCTTATTAACCCATTATATTATATAATTATTGTATTAGTTATATAATTATTACATATATAATTATTGATAATTATATAATTACTAATTGAATTATGTTGTTATAATATATATTTTATATTCTATTAATATACTATCTTGAGAGCAGTACTGTCCAATAGAAATATAATATAAACCACAAATACAAGCCACATATATATCTTTAAATTTTCTAGAAGCCACATTAAAAGCATAAAAGAAATAGAGGAAATTGTAGTATTATATTTAACCTAGGATCTTCAAAATATTATAACTTCAATATGTAATCAACATAAAAAATTACTAGTGAGCTATTTATTTTACACGTTTTACATTAACCCTTCAAAAGCTAGTGTGTATGTTAAACCATCCACACATCTCAGTTCATTTCAGCCGTATTTCCCATGCTAACATAGCAAAGGGCTAGCCTACTGGACAACACACTAGAGCAACCACTAACATAAAACAAGAAGGTATAGTTAAACTGCTAGAGGAGATAAAATGGAATACCGAATAAATACTATATTAATCCAGGAGGAGGTGGGAATGAAAAAAAGCAAAGAGTAGATAGGACAAATAACACTTCTAGGCATGACAGATTAATCTGTTATCTTCTCCAGCTGGAACAGGGTACAGCCAAGGAAGCCGTGGCAGATGGAGTAATGCAAACAAAGACATTTAGTTACAACCCACTAATGGTAAGCTTTGTGAACATGGACAAAAAAACTAATCTTTCTTATCCTGCATTTATTCCTTTACCATAGAGCTTGTTTGCCTGCTAGTTTCTTCACTTGGAGCAATAAAGTGTTATAGTTAAGAAAATGGATTTGGATATTAGCTCTGGATTTGAATCTTGGCTCTGTCATTTTGAGACCTTAGACAAATTACTTAATTGCCCTAAACTTCAGTTTCCTCATTTGTATAATGGGTATTATACAATACCTGCCTCAAATCCCTGTAAAATACAGTGCCTAGCATCTTGGAAGCTCTCAAAAAGGTAAGTTAGTTGTTTCTTTTTATTATTGTTCAGTTAACTAACTCTTAAGACCATGAACTATAGTCCAGACACCATTCAAGACAGAAAGGATTCACGGGTGTATGACAAAGACCTTTTCCTTAACAGAGAAGCCAGACATGTAATATCTGACTGCCTATTTAAATGGCTGTTATGAGTCAGAAATAAAGCAGACAGAAGCACTAGGGTAAAAATATAAATGTTGCTATATAAGTGTCTGTATTATGATGTGTAATCTTTTTCCTTGGCAAAACACAGCAACCAAGCAGCCTGGAAAAATTATGGATATAGTTCTGATCCAGCCATTCTCTCCAAAAATTAGTAGGTTTTAGTCTACCAATGAGTGGGAAGTAAATTATTCTCATTTAACTTTAAAGAGTAGTTTTCTACTTGTTCACCAAGAAGCTCCAATCTTCTGAATCATATTCAACACTGTTAGAAACTACTATTTTGTTGATATTTTCTTCACTAGCATTTTTTAAAGTATTGTGTTCATTCACATATATGTCCCAACCCCTAATTCTAATTTAGACTGAACTATTTCCTAATGAGGGCTACCAGGTGTGTGTGTGTTTAAGTCGTCTGTGTTTATTCTTAGGTCAGGAATTATTTTTATTTACATGTTGTAAGCACTGTATACTTTATTAATAGTTGGCATCATCCTCAGAGTAAACTTAAGTCTCTCCCTCTGTGTATATGTGTGTGTGTGTATATATATATATATATGCATATATATATGGGTGTGTGTATATATATATATATATGCATATATATATGGGTGTGTGTATATATATATATAAAACACTTTGATACATGTTCAATCTTTATCTTGTTTTGTTTTCAAATCTGAAACATGGATTTAATAAGTTTCATTTTGCCGGTGAGTCTGTGACTTGCCAAAGACATAGTAGTCATTAGTGAGACCAGAATGTAGACATAGGTCTGTCTGTCCAACTCCACCCACCTCATGCAACCTCCTTTATATAGTGTCCTCTGCTGGTGAGTGCTTGGGAGAGAGCAATTGTTGAGCAATACTATTTTATATTTGTTCAAAATATAAGAAATTGATGGCCAAGCACAATGTTTCATGCCTGTGACCACAACACTTTGGGAGGCAGAAGTGGGAGGGTCACTTGGGCTCAGGAGTTCAAGACTACAGTGAGCCATAATCACACCACTACACTCCAGCCTGGGCAACAGAGTGACACCCATATTTAAAAATAAAAAATTAAAAAACATATAAGGAATTGGTCACACAAACACAACTGCCTTTACCAAACATTCAGAAGCTTCTCCAGAAGACCACGTACTCCAAGTTGCAGCTAAAACTGCAGCAGCAGTCTACAATCATGTGTTTGCCTTGAAGAGTCGCAACTAAACAATGTACCTGAATTCACCTTTTCCCACATGACTTCCAAGTTAATCATCTATAAGTATAGACAAATCACCCAAGCAAATGCAATACCTTAGATCAAGACTTATTTTTCTTTTTATTTATGTATTATAAGCACTGTATATTTTATTAATAGCCGGCATTATCCACAGAGTAAACTTAAGTCTCAAACAAATCTCATTGTAGGATTTTCTTTACCTGCACCAGATCATAACAATGTTTGTCCAAGAATAAAAAGCACTGTGCAAAAAGGAGGTAACAATAAATGCTGGTTAAACTGAATTTTCATGAAGGTTTAAATTCAGCAATCTCTTACCTTTTGTTTCTTTCCTTTAAATTTGATTTTATAATAGAAAATGGGTAATAGCCTTGCACAGAAATTTACTAAGGAAGAAACACAAATGTCCAGTAATAATAATGTAAAAAAAAATTCAACTCTATCAGTGCTGAAAAAAAAACCCAAGTGAATATAAGGAGAACCAATGTTTAACACTTATCTGACAATGTTTAACAAAAAATACTGTAAAATGATAATGCCTAGCGGCTGATGAGATGGTTAAATTTTTCAATGTATCTAGAAAACAACATAATAGCATGTATCAAACTCCTGAATAATCTCGTAACTCTTTCACGGAGCATTTCCCTTTCAGGTATTTACCAGATGGAAAAAATAATCATAGCTGCACAAAAATATAGCAATAAAGCAACTCTGTAGCATCATCTCCTATTAATTATTTTGTTATCAAGTGTCGACATGTAAAGTGTTTAAATAAATTGTGGTCAACCCATACAGTAGAATACTATGTAGTTATTGAAAGTCAAGTAATGGAAGAATTCTAAGTGACCAATGGAAGTACTATAATGTTATAGCATATACAGTTGGTACAGTATGATTGTGTGTGTGTGTGTGTGTGTGTATGTGTGTACTGGAAAGATATTTCACAAGATGTAAATAAAAGTGATTTCTAGGTATTGAGATTATGGGTGATTATTTTTCCTGTCTCTCCAGTTCCCCTGCCCCACAGAGGAGGGTTAGCTTGTATATCCCCCAAATCCTTCAATTAGAATATACTACTTTAAGAATGAGAAGCAAAAAAAGAGGAAAAAGGAACTGTGATCTACTTTCAGGGGAAGATGACACTCACACTCTGTTAACTTCCTGAGGGCCAGACTGCCTGGGAGGGAAGCCCCTCACCCCACCTTACTTTGCCCTGCCTGCCAAATGCAGAGGTCCAGTGGCCCAGCCAGAAAGACAAGTTTGTGGGGCTGTCCTCATCCTCTATATTTTGTCCATTTAGCCTAAAATATCTTGCGAAATATATATTATGTGCTAGCCATGGGGCACACAATAGTGAGGGGGAAAGAGAGAACGGAAGAGAAGGAAGGAAGGATGGGAAGAAAGTGGGAGGAAGAAAACTTCCCTGGCATATTATGCAGGAGTCTGACCTTCATCAAATGACTGACCCTGAGCCATGCTAGGCAGAGGCAGGGTCACAGGGCTATAGGAGCCGAGTTCAGTGGGAGCTCCCCAGCCCTGACAGAACATCTTTCTTCAGGAAGCAAGCACTGAGTTGAACTCTCAAGGAAGTGCAGGCAATATGGTAAAAAAGGGGTAAGGAAGGGCAGTCCAGGATAGGCACTAGAGATGCCAGGGCAGGGGAGAGCAGGCAGCAAGGCTGGAGTGCCCACAGCCAGGGAGGCTGGATGGGAAGAGACCAAAGCATGCGAGGCCTCAAAGGTACGTGCAGGGGGCACTGAGAGGCTTTGGCAGGGCATCCCTTGGCAGATGCGCCTTCAGACAGGATAGCTCTGGGTGTAGACTGGATAATGGATTTGGAAGGGGGCCATGGTGGATCCCAGGAGGCCATGAGAAGTCCCATCTAGGGCAGTGACACACACGTGGAATGAAATGATGTATTAGTCTGTTTTCATACTGCAATAAAGACGTACCTGAGACTGGATAATTTATACAGGAAAAACGTTTAATGGATTTACAGTTACACATGGCTGGGGAGGCCTCACAATCATGGCAGAAGGCAAGGAGGAGCAAGTCATGTCTTACATGGATGGCAGCAGGCAAAGAGAGAGCTTGTGCACAGAAACTCCCCCTTATAAAACTGTATCTAGTAAAACTTATTCACTATCATGAGAACAACATGGGAAAGACCTGCCCCCATGATTCAATTACCTCCCACAACATGTGAAAATTTAAGATGAGATTTGAGTGGGGACACAGTCAAACCATATCAAGTGGAAATACTATTTCAGTGACTTTGATGGGGAGTTTCCAATCTTACACTTCCAAATGGTAACAAAGATTGAGTGCAGTGACTCACACCTGTAGTTCCAGCTACTTGGGAGGTTAAGCCGGGGCAGGGGGGAGGATTGCTTAAAGCCAAGAGTTTGAGACCAACCTGGGCAAGACAGCAAGACATTGTCTCTAGAAAATAAAACATTAGCCAGGTATGGTGGTGCATGCCTTTAGTGCCATACTCGGGAGGCTGAGGCGGGAGGATCAGTTGAGCCCAGGAATTCAAGGCTGCAATGAACTATGATCACACCACTGCACTTTAGCCTGGGCAACAGAGCAAGACTATCTCTAAAACAAACAAATAACAACAACAAAAACAGTAACAAAAGAAAGCCCAGCTTTTTGGGCAAGAAGTGACAGCTCAGGACCAGGGACATTATAATACAAATTCCGGGTGAGCAGAGGCCACAGCCAATGAAGCACCATTTTGTCTGAAAAGTACAAAATGCTTCCCCTTCCACCCTTTGAACACCTGCTTTGTTCATCAATAACCTTACAATTGCAGCCCACATATCCAAGCTTCAAAGTAAAAGCAGAGAGCTCAATTTGTGTCTATGAAGCAGCGTGCCGTGATGTCATCTGACCCTTTGTTTTCATCTGTGTGCAGTGGAGACAGGAAAGGCACCACTCATCAGACTCCTGCAGGAGCCATCTGCCAAGCCTCTCTCTTCTGAACTGAGTCCTGTTTTCCGTGGCTATTTTACATTTCTAATGAGAAGCTATTATGTATCACATAGGTTCATCCATGTAGTCCCTCACTATGGAGGACCTGGCCCCAGCTGAGTCTGCACACTAGATGACAAAGAAGCTTTCAGCTTTAAGGCACCTCCAGATATCTAGTTTCCTCTAACAATAAAAATAGTAATAAAAGTTACCATTTATTATGATTGATTTTTTATAGGTAAATTAACCTACATTAAGGGAATGTAACTTATGTGACCTACTGATACCACAGAGTAGAGACAAGATGCAGCCCAGGCCTACAAGACCACAAAGGCCATTCCCTTTGAGCCCTCTCCCCTCAGCCTTTCCCCTCTCCCTCCATCTGAGGGAGACAGAAGCTTGGGTGAGACCTGCTTCTTGAAGCTACATGGTCCAAGTCCCCTCAGTTTCCAAGCACTTGGGGATCACTTGTGGGCTATCACTACAGTGGAAGATAAGCAAACCACTGGGCGTAGTAGGAAAGAGGCCGTTTTCTCAGAGGTCAAGAACTGAAGAAGGGAGTTTCACTGTCTGACCTCCAATGGCCCTACTGTGTGTATGATCTTGGATGCGTCACTCACTATGCCTCAGTTTCCTCATCAGGAGAACAAGAATCATACAACAGGCCCAGAATCCTTTCCCTGAAATCCTTCGGTACAGATGTGTTTTATAAATCAGAATTTCTTGATTTTAGAAAGGTAATAGAGTTCACATTTTATAACACTCCTAACGGAGTCTGGTACAGTACCCATTAACCACAAATCAATCACATTAATAGTATGCAGCAAAACATAGTGAAATACACCCAGTTGAGATAAATTAAAACTATAAACAGTCTCATCAGTTTAGATGAGATTTTTCCACCAAAAGAACTACCTTTAAAAAAAAGAATTTCCTCCTCTGTAGACTTGGAAGACTTTGGAATTTATTTCAGAGTTGCAGAGCCAGGGGTTGGGCAGGGAGGTGGGGTAAAGAGTGGATGACAGAGCTGTGTTTACCTTGTAAGGCTGCTGTGAGGATGAAATGGATCAAAGAATACATGGAATGCACTTAGAAGAATGCCTGAGACATAACAGAAGTGCATTTCGGATATTCTTATTCAATCCAAAAAAGAAAAAACACAGGCTACTTCAAAGGCCATTATTTGTATGTCAAAATTACTGCTAGGATGTTTACTACTACAGGGAATTAGAAGACATCTTCAGAAGAATTCTGAACAAGACCTCATCAGACCTCTTCAGAAGAATTCTGGGTGGATCTGCCGGCCACTGCCAGGAGAGGGAACTCAACAACATCCCTAAGAGTCTGATCCAGAGAATAGGTAAATTATTTTATTCCAAATACCACCTGCCAGTCCAGCAAAATGGGATCTCCAATACTTTGGATTATATGTGCCAAGTGCAAATCCCATAATGGCAGCCAGAAATTCTGGAATTAGCCAGAACTGGAGGGACACACTGAAGCCAGAGCCTGGGATCCTATCTACAACAGTGAATGAGGACCCCTTCTTCATAGCACGTAAAAGAACTCTTTGCATTCTTCATCCCATTTCTGGTTCCCTCCCCAGTGTTTTTCCTTCGGCTTACTGAAATCACTTCATTCTTATCAAGATGAGATCTTGAGAGCATTCTCAATTTGAGGAACAGAGTCATAGCTGCAAGTTGCTAATTTGTCCCATGCTGCAGAGGATTTTTATACAATGGTCGTCAGTCCTTTCACGCTAGAGCTCCCCTCTCTGCAGCTCAGAGCAATTTCTTTGACTTTAACCAGATGCTGCAATGTGTTGCTCTTTTCATCACTGGAAAATTGATCGGACTGATCTATAAGTACTCACCTCTTTCCCGGCCCAGCATACGTGTTCCTCACACCAACAAAAACCATTTCTGTTTGTAGTTTGCCATAGTATATGTAGACTTATTTGAAAAGTACTTTGCATAGTATGTCCTCAGAATAATAAAATATTAATAATAATAACAAATGGGGTAACAAGGAAATGAGGAAAGGGTAGTGTCCAAGATAGGGTTATCAATACGTGTTTGCTCCAATGGACAAATTGTAGTAGGCCTAATGAGCTACCAGTCTGGAGCAAATTAAAGAAAAAAAGTTTATTGTATATACACAATAAACAGCCAGCTGAAAGTATTTCAGAACACTTACTCCAATTTTCCTTGTGAAATCCAAGAAGCTTTTCAAAAAGCAGTCTCTTCTTTTATTAAACAATTGTACTAAAAATATTGTCTGTCTTTTCCCACTAAAAGTTAATCTCCCTGAGAACAGGAACTTTGTTTTGCTGTATTCCTGGTGCTGGGAAATGTAAGCATTTTGGAGGTGCTTAATAAATATTTGTTGGATAAATGAGTGGGAGAACCTGAAGCAAGCAGACAGATGAATTTTCCCTAGTTGTGTAGAAAGCATACAGTTGGTTTCTATACATTTCTATCAAATACATATACAGATTATGTGACATCAAGAGCCCAAGAGACTTTGGGGGCATCTCACACTTTCTGTGCAGTGAGTCTTCCAGAAGTCTGAGAGATCGTGAGAAAGACTACTGAAAAGCTTAGTAGGCTGGCATCAATTCCACAAAATACGTGTATAGCCCATATAACATAGGGTTTGAAACTAACTAAAAAGTAAAACCTCAGCAGTCAGTCAAGGGGGCTGTGAAACAGTGTTACACAGGAAGTTGCATGGTTTCCTGACTTCTACACAGGAGGGGAGCAGTTTTCAGGTTGCACTCAATCTAGGACAGCAGTCCCCAACCTTTTTGGCACCAGAGACTAGTTTTGTTGAAGACAATTTTTCCATGGATAGAAGGGTGGATAGTGGGTAGTTTTGGAATGATTCAAGTGCATTACATTTATTGTGCACTTTATTTCTATTATTACATTATAATATATAATGAAAGAATTATACAACTCACCATAATACAGAATGAATGGGAGGGCTGAGCTTGTTTTCCTGCAACTAGATGGTCCCATCTGGGGGTGATGGGGGACAGTGACAGATCATCAGGCATTAGATTCTCATAAGGAGTGTGCAACCTAGATCTCTCGCATGCACAGTTCACAATAGGGTTTGCTTTCTTATGAGAATCTAATGCCACTGCTGATCTGACAGGAGGCAGAGCTCAGGCGGTAATGCGAGCAATGGGGAGCAGCTATAGAGATGAAGCCTCGCTCACCTCCTGCTGTGCTGCCCAGTTTGTAAGAGGTCATGGACCAGTACTGGTCTGTGGCCCAGGGGTTAGGGACCCCCTGATCTAGAAGACAAAGGCAGGATGTGATCAAACCTGTCTCTTCCCACTGCAGTGTGGCAGAAACTCAGACAGGCCACAGAGAAAAAACCAAAGTAGCAGCGCTATGCAAAGGGAAATTTTTGCCTAATATAATAAAGATCTGAGGGAAATGAGAGGAGAGCACCCACAGTCGGATACAAATGATGAGGAAGGTACATTTGCCACTGGAGACAGAGTGCTACATCATCACTGTGTAGCGTCAAGACTAGTTAGGACTGTCTGCCATCTACTGGCACATGTAATGTAGGTTACATTGGCCCAAACCCCCTTTCCCTGACCTTTTGTGGGTCACAGAGTGGAGAGGGCTGTCACATTGCACACTGCACAGGAAGCAATGCAGAATCTGTTCCTAAGGGACCTTTGCTTGTCCCACCTGCTGGCAGGCTGCTTCCCTCCACTCCACAGCAGCCAATCACCTGCTTATCTCTCCTCTCCCCTTCTCTCCTCCTCTCCTCTCCTCTCTCCCCTCCAGGCCTTTCTTTTTTCTCCCCTCACTCCCTGGAGTATTGTATTTTCTCTTGTGGCACAGCTTCACCCTTACTTGCTTACATACATAGCTGGACTCCTGCCCCCAGAGTCTCACATTTGATTCTTTAAGTCTCTCCTCAAACAAACATTTTCTCCTTAAGAACGGCTTTAGGGATGGTCATCTTGATAAGAATATTTTTACTCTGCAAGAAAAGAAAGGCACCGTCCTCAAGAAGACCTCTATGAAAGGAAAGCAAGGGTGGGTGCAGTGGCTCACGTCTGTAATCCCAGCACTTTGGGAGGCTGAGGTGGGTGAATCACCTGAGGTCAGGAGTTCAAGACTAGCCTGGCCAACACGGCAAAACCCTGTCTCTACTAAAAATACAAAAATTAGCTGGACATGGTGGTACACGTCTATAATCCCAGCTGCTTGGGAGGCTGAGGCAGGAGAATCACTTGAACCCGGGAGGCAGAGGTTGCAGTGAGCTGAAATCATGCCACTGCACTCCAGCCTGGGTGACAGAGTGAGACTTCGTCTCAAAAAAATAAAATAAAATTATATATATATATATATGAAGGAGAGCAGTGTGAGACATGGAAGAAGAGGAGGATTGTCCAAAAAGTAGAAAAGAAATCTGAATGAGACCAGAGCACAGCTTCTTCAGCTACAGCCTGCTAAGAGATTAGAAGTCAGCATCAAAGCCTGACAGTATGTGTGTGTTTGGTTACCATTACGTAGACATAACCATATTTTAAATAACTACCATAAACCGATTCTAATTTTATTCTATAATTAGGGAATAGGACATTCTCAAAGAACACTCTGGCTGTCTTTATAAAGGTTCTAGTTAAAGAACTCCAGACATCATTATGGGTTGATTTCTGAACTAGACGGCCATAACTAATGATTTCAATCAAATCCCATTTTCAGTAGGCAGAACTAGTAAGTAGAATTCCTTAGAGAATGTGGCTTACTCTTAATCCTATATGGGTATGTTATATATGTGTTATATAAAATGCCATCTGTCATAAAACAAAACATTTTATTAAGAAGATTTTTTTTAATTGTACATTCTGCAAATGATCAAATTCTGTAAGCTAAACCAGAGGTCCTCAGAATGTGGCCCCAGATCAACAACACTGGCATCACCTGGGAACATGTTAGAAACACAGGTTCTCAGGCCTCACCAGACACACAGGAGCAGAAACTCTGGGGTGGGGTCCAGCAATCTGCATGTTAACAAGCCCCCCAGCTGACGCTGATGCCCTGAAGACCACTCTAGCCTGAAGACCAATGTCCTAGGGTCACCATGATCACAAGGTTCCTGATTGGTCCATTTGGAATATTTCTAAATGCTAGTGCGATCCCTGAATTATGATTCCTTTCATTTCCAGGTCTTTTGATTCTCAAGAATCTGTACCCCTGTCTTCAGATGACACTGTTTCTGCAATAAAGCCAATGTTTGTGGCCCTGCCCAAACTCATATGTTGAAATCCTAAGCCTCAAGGTGATGGTATTAGGAGGAAAGGCCTTTGGGAGGTGATTAGGTCATAAGAATGGAGCTCTCATACATGGGATTAGTGCCTTTATAAAAGAGGCCTAAGAGAAACCCTTCGCCCCTTCCACCATGTGAGGGCACAGCCAGAAGGCACCATTTGTGAACCAGAGGCCCCTCACCAGACACTGAATCTTCTAGCACCTTAATCTCCAACTTTGGACCTCCACCCTCCAAAATGGTGAGAAATAAATGCTTGTCATTTAAGCCACCCAGTCTAAGGTATTTGTTATGGCAGCCAGAACATACTAAGACCATTTCCCTGCCACAGCTGCCCACAGCTCTCTGCTAGGTTTTCTGCTCCCTGCCCTGCACTCCTGGACTCCTCCTCCAGTGTCAATCATGACGCACTTTGCAGGGAAGGAAGTTCTCACCCTCAATTGCTCTCCTCACTCACATATGTTCAGAGCTCTCTTTACAACTGCTGGAGCACTCACATATCCCAAGGGAAAGCTTCTGTGTTCCATCCTGGACCTTCTAGGGGCTACCACGCTTCCACCAGGGCCGCTGCTCTCACCATAAGCTTCAGACTCTCATCTCCCGAGATCTTGCTCACAGCGCAGCTGCCTTCCGCTCACACAGGCCAGAGGGGCCACCTTGTCTCTTCTTAGAGCAACTTCCCACCACTCCCTTGGGGCTCAACCTTCGCTTTATGTTCTGTAAAAGCCAGCAGTTCTCAAACTTGAGACTGCATCAGGCACACCTGGAGGGCTTGTGAAAATCCAGAATGGTGAGTCCCGCCCCCCAGAGTTTCTGATTTAATAGGTCTTGAGTAGCCCAGAATTTGCATCTCTAACAAGCCCCCAGTGGAAGCTGAGGCTGTCATCTTCCCAGGCCGCACTTTGAGAACTGCTGTTGAAAGCCATCATCACTGAACTTATTTGCAGAGGTACCTAAAAATAATCAATCCACAACTGTTCCTTCTCCAAATGACCACTCTCTGATGTCTATCAAGAAATCCAAATTATTTACCAATTAATTTATTGGTAATTATGTTCCACCTATTTCAAAAAAAGTTTTGAGCTAACTCTAATTTTTGCTTAGCCATCAGCAGAAATAGTAAATTTACCTAGTGCATTCAGAAAAATGCTGTTCCTCCCAGGGAAAATAGTGTTTTCTATTGCTCCTGAAATCTGCTGACCTTGGCACTGACTCTGGTCCTCTTACATTAAGGTGAAGCTGGGGCGGGGTTGAGGAATCAAGACTGAGAAACCTTGCTGTCCTGCAGCAGAATAGAGATACATGGAAGAAGGAAGACAGAATCTTGGCTTTGAAGAGAAAGTGAGATGTGATGTCAATGATCCCACTAACACCAAAACCAGCAAACCAGCCTCCTTAAGGGTGGCCCCACCTCCCCACCCTTCCTACTTTTTCTACCAAGCCAAACCCAGAAATAGAACACGGCTCACTTCTCAGGGCTATTGCCTCTGCCTCATCTCCAGAGACCACATCTGCAGCTCCCAAAACAAGGTCTGTTCTGCAGCTGGACAATTCACTGCTAAAATCCCAAACCTAAGAGCAGAGCCAAAGCCAGAGGAGAGGAAAGTGACAATAGGGCCAAAGCCTCATTCCAGATTCCAAATGTCATTCTGTAGCCCTCGTGCTATCAACTGCTGCCTGCTGGCTGCAGCCAGGTCCCTGGGTCCATACACAGCCTGCATCAAGAGCCTGCAGAGACTCGGGGGCTGGAGATGGGAAACAGATGGTGGCCTGCGCTTTGTCTTTCCCAAGTTTACAGCCTCACCTGGGGGTGGAGGCTGTTCTGAGGGGCCCCCAAGAGGTAAGTTCACGCATCACTACTGACCCTCTCCCTGTGAAAGCAGAAAGTCAGCACGCATCCTACCCCAGACCAGACCAGCCACACCTGTAGATTCAAGGTCCTGGGGGAACAGTATTCAAATGCCTCTGCTCTCAGCCTTTTACTTCTGACTGTGGTTCCCAGCGAGTCTAAAATTTGAGAAGTGAAACTGAACATCCAACTGCCTTGGTGAGGGGAGAGGAAGAAATTTTACAGGCTTTTTATTGGCCGGTTATTTTTCTGTGTGTCCCATACAGGCCCCCACCATGAAGGGTTTCACAGCCACTCTCTTCCTCTGGACTCTGATTTTTCCCAGCTGCAGTGGAGGCGGCGGTGGGAAAGCCTGGCCCACACACGTGGTCTGTAGCGACAGCGGCTTGGAAGTGCTCTACCAGAGTTGCGGTAAGCCCTTGCAGTACACCCATGTGTGTTTATGGGGAAAGCAAGGCCCACAGATGTGAGCCGCTAGTGCTCAGTTGGAGTTGGGGTGGGAGGGGAGAGGGGACCAGCAGCTGAACACTTTCTCCACCTGCAGCAGGTCTGGGAGGGCCACTGGGAGCTTTTGGAAGAAGGAGCGGTGGGGCCAGGACTGGGAGCGGAAGAGAATGGCAGAACAACAAAGAGTACAAGAAAGAGAAATTGAATCTAAATATAGCCATTTACTAACACCACAGAACCCAAAAAAGAACAAAATGATCAGTGAGTCTACCAAATCATCAAACCTCACCAGCTGAAAATTAGGAAAAGCAGCTTCCAGTAGGCCCTTCCTCAACACCGTACACCTGGGCTACCTTTCCATCTGATGTACTTTGCAAGTGAAGTGAAAAGATCACTTCTGCCCAAAGAGAAGATTCCTGTCCCTCTCTGGACACTTTCAGAGCTTTCACTGCAGCAGTAGCTCTCATGAATTCAGCAAGCACTTCGCATGCAGCTATCAATGCCAGGGTTTCTCAGTGCTAGAGATAATAAAAGTGCATATGCCAGGCCTGTCACCCCAGCGGGCCAACCCAATACGCCAACAGATAATTGCAATTCAGTGAAGAGAATGCAGTGAACTGTGGTAAGAAGTGTCAGAACCAACCAATCGGGCTGTGTCTTAGTCAGCTAGGGCTGCCATAACAAACCACCACAGGCTGGGGACTTAAATAACAGATTTATTTCCTCACAGCTCTGGAAGCTGGGCTGGTTTCTCCTGAGACCTCTCTTCTTTGCTTCTAGGTGGCATCTTCTCCCTGTCTCCTCATGTGCTCTTCCCTCTGTGTACATCTGTGTCCTCATCTCCTCTTCTTATAAGTACACAATCATATCAGATTAGGGCCCACCTCCATGGCCTCACTTTAGCTTAATCAGCTCTTTAAAGACCCTATCTCCAGCAGGGCATGATGGCTCACACCTGTAATCCCAGCACTTTGGGAGGCTGAGGAGGGTGAACCACTTGAGGTCAAGCATTCAAGACCAGCCTGACCAACATGGAAAAACCCTGTTTCTACTAAAAATATAAAATTAGCTGGGCATGGTGGCACGCGCCTGTAATCCCAGCTACTTGGGAGGCTGAGGCAGAATTGCTTGAACCCAGGAGGTGGAGGTTGCAGTGAGCCAAGATCGTGCCATTGTACTCCAGCCTGGGCAAGAGGAGCGAAACTCTGTCTTAAAAAAAAAAAAAAAAAAAAAAAAGACCCTATCTCCACATACAGTCACATTCTAAGATACCGTAGTCCCCCCCCAGTCTGCTAGGAATACGTTCCAAGACTCCCAGTGGATGCCTGAAATCATAGATCGTTTTGAACCCTACATATACTATGGTTTTTGGACCCAATAAATGAGACAGCTACTAAGTGACGGACAGGCCGGTAGTAGAGACAACATGGATATTCTAGACAATTCGTGTTCCTGGTGGGCTGGGCAGCACGAGATTTCATCATGCTACTCAGGAGGATGCTCAATGTCAAACTAATGAATTATTTCTGGAATTTTCTATTTAATATTTTTGGACTGCAGTTGGCTGAGAGTAACCGAAACCTTGGAAAGTGAAATCTTGGATAAGGGGGCTGTACTGTACTGGGGGTTGGGACTTCAATACATAAATTTGAGGGGATGCAATTCATCCCATACAGGGCTCCCAAGTGGGGAGCAACTCAGGAGCCCAGCCTCAGGATCACATCTGCTGTTAGAGGGACTGGCTTGTGCAAACGCATGGCATTGTGATATCTGCCACTTTGGAGGGAGATGGGGGCAAAATGCCGTTTGAACTACAGGAGATGGAAAAGAGAAGTTGATTAAGCATCTGAATTGGCCTCACTCTAAGCTGGGGAGTGATGAGGATGCAGTGCTTGAGCAAGTACCTGATCCTACAACTGCCACCCAAAGAGCTGCCCAGAGAGGTCCAGATGGTCACTCTAGTCACCAGGGCCATTTGTTCAATTTGACCTCACTTTTAAAAATAAGGGACATTGAAGTGCACACACACACAAAAATTAAAAATAAGTAAAAGAGAATGAACGACTGGATGCTGGAAGTGCTGATCTTGTCACTCTAGGTTTTCCCATGGCGTCAGGACCACTAGTATCCCATTCATTTTCAGTGCAGGATGAGAAGCAAGATGTGAGATAAATGGACTGGTCAGGGTTGGTTTTTCCAATTCATCCTTGCATAAAGGTTGCCACAGCTGATCTGTCTCCCAGACTCACCCTCTGCCTGCAGCCAGGCTGGTGCATCCTTTCAAGTCACTTGCAAGAGGACTGGGCACGTCAGGGAAAGAACAAGGACACATCACCTGCCCACAGGAGGATGGCTCTTTCCTCTGTAGGTGAAGTTTCCCCATGGAGTCAGTGAATGTCTTAGCCAAGCCACTCAGAATAAGAGATGGAAGAGATGCAGTTCTCATCCAAGGGAGTGGGACGATCAGACAATTAAGCAACAGGGTAAATGCTTTGTGTGAAAGGCTGTAGTGAAGGCAGGCATTGTGCACCAGGGACATAGTAGTCAGACGATGGTGAGGTTGGTATCTGGATCTGTTGGAAAAGGAGTCACCAAGCCTAAGTTGAGGCTTAAAGACTGATGAAAATACTAATGATAACACCTCATGTTGGTGGAGGCCACCAGGCTAAGTACTTTACATGCATCATTCTTATGTTGCAGATGTGTAAACTGAGGGATAAAGATGTTATGACTAGTGAACTTTTCCAAGGCCACACAGCTAATAGTGGCAGAATTATATCCCCAGGGTCACAGAGAAGGTAAGACATTGAGGAACTATTGATGGAATTAAAACAAATTGATCCCCAGCCTGCCTGACTCCAGAACCCATGCTCTAAAACTCCCTGTGGTCTAGAGTTTAATCAGCAGGCAAAGTGGACTAAAGGAGGGGTGAGAGGAGAAGTTTGGCAGAGACAATGACATGCGTGAAGGCAGGAAAATGGGACCAGGCACAGGGTTCAGGGAACTGCGGGAGGGCTGAAAACACAAAGGGCTGAAAGAGGAAGTGGAAGACATGAGCAAGACCCCAGACAATGGCGGGCTGCCTCCCTTTGGCCAGGAGGTTGCATTTTGGAAAGATCCTCGGGCAGTAAGCAGGAGTGTAGATTTTGAATTGGAAGCTATTTGAGGCTGAAAATAGGGTTTTCTCCAGGTGGAGCAATAATTCAGGAAAGAAACCACTAAGGCCTAAGTTGACATCATTTCCGCAGTCTTGATAACCTTGAGGAGAAGGGAAACTTCACAAGCAGTTACTGGGCTCTGAATACTGACTAGGAAGTAAGCAGTTTTCTGAAAAAGCAGAAGTCCTGGCCTGGCCAACTGTCAATGACACAGGAAAGAAGAGAGCCACTGTCTTTACTAAAGCAAAAGGAGGAGCAAACACAGTCAGGGCCTTGGGTTTGCTAAATCACGAGTCCCACGGTTACAAAAGCCCAGAGACTCCACTCCATGCACAAACCACAAACACCCACCGATATATTTATTTATATGCTGCCTCCAGCATATACACGAAGATGTGAGGAGATGACAGAAATACTTATGATTGGAAGGGGAAATAAGCAGCAGTGGAAGAAGCAGGGTGAGGGGAAGCATAAGGGAAAGTGCTATGGACTGAATGTTTGTGTCCCCTGAAGATTCATGTTAAACCCTAATCCCAGTGTGACAGCATTAGAAGGTGGGGCCTTTAGGAAGTGATTAGATCATGAGAATGGAGACTTCATAAATGGGATTAATATCTTAAAAGAAGAGGCCAGAGATCTCTTTTCACCACATGAGGACACAATGAGAAGGTGGCTGTCTGTAAACCAGGAAGCGAGCCCTCACCAAGAACCTGCTCCTGCTGGCTCCCGGATCTCAGATTTCAACCCTCCAGGACTCTGAGAAATCAATGTTGGCTGTTTAAGCCCCCCAGTCTATATAATTTGTTAAACCTGCCTGAGTTGGCTAAGGGGAAATCATAAAGGCAGGAGAGGTTAGGACACATGTAACAGATAGAGCAGCATGAGAGGTAAGAGCTTAGAATCTGGAGTCAGCAAAGCTCATTCAAATCTTGGGCAACACTCTAGATCTCATGTTATTGTTTGTAAGGAGGGTGTATTCGTTTCCTGTTGTTGCTGTGACAAATTTCTACTTGGTGGCTGAAAACAACACATGTATTTGCTCATAGTTCTGTGGTCAGAGTCCAAAATCAATTTCACTGGGTAGACAGGGCCTGGGCCTTGCTCCCTTAGAAACTCTGGGGGAGAATCCCTTTCTTTTCTTTTCCAGCTTGTATAGGTGCATTCCTTGGCCTGAGGCTTCTTCCTCCATCTTCAAAGCTGACAGTGTAGCATCTTGCTTCCTTCTATCATCACATGGCCTTCCTGTTCTGTTTCAAAGCTCCCTCTGCCTCCTTCCTGTAAGGACCCTTGTGATTAGGATCATCTCCCCAACTCAAGATCCTTAATCACATCTGCAAAGTCTCTTTTGCCAAGTAAGATAAGATTCACATGTTCCAGGGGTTAAGAGGTAGACATCTTTGGGGACCATTATTTAGCCTAATGTCATAGGGAGAATATATTACCTACGCAAAGGGCTGTGTGAAGATTATGTGAGAAGGACTATATGAAAGGTGCTTAGCACATACTGTGCACTCAATGTATCTTTGCTGCTGATGATTTTGTACAGTATTTTACAACTGATTGAGGTATAATAGACTCTGAGCTTCCTTGAAGCCAAATCAAACAAGGACATGGCATTGTTTCTGAAATAAAATTAGTTTTTAAGATGCTCAGCTTTTCCTGATATAGGGATGAGCGATGAGGGGAATTTCTCCCCAGAGTAGATGGCATCCTGGATGGTGTGTCTACTGAGAGGCCATGGTGACTCAAACCCGCTGTTTCTCATGATGCCCCTTGGTGCAGGTCAGGAAGCCAGAATCAAGATACATTCTGCAAAGGGCCAAGGCAGAATCCTCCATGAATA
Organism: Homo sapiens; assembly: GCF_000001405.40. NCBI lineage: Eukaryota > Metazoa > Chordata > Mammalia > Primates > Hominidae > Homo > Homo sapiens. The sequence continues at coordinate 6,593,908 of NC_000006.12, forward strand.
TAGCATACAGCAATCACAGGTCAGCCTTCTTTGAGAGTGAAGGTTAGATTGTGTACAGGAATGGATAAGCTGCATGTCCTGTGGGCAATCCTCCATAAATATTGTTGCCATTGTTTTTGTTACTGGATGTTTGTAAGGGTCAGATAGAGTTCTGGATTGTATTTTTTGGCAAGGGCCCAGCGTTATAATTTCACATGCTTTGACATCAACCAGGCAGAGGAGGACCTGTGACACATGCTCAAATGACTTATGTCCCCCTTTGGTTTCCCTGATACTCACAGTCTACCTGGACAGAGAAGTGGCTCCTAGAAGTTGTGTAAGGCAGACACTTGCGAACTAGAGCCCGCAGGCCAAACCCCACTCGGTGCCTGTTTGCATATGGCCTGTGAGCTAGGGATGATCTTTATATTTTTAATGTTAAAGAATTCAAAAGAAGAAGAATATTCATGACACATGGAAATTATCTGAAATTCAAATTTCTGTGTCCATAAATACAGTTTTATTTGACACAGCTGCACCCATTCTTTTAGATGTTGTTTATGCTACTCGTGTTATAATGGCAAGGTAGTGTGACAGTGACCACATGGCAAGGCTCCACAGAGCGTTATAATCATCTGGAACTTTCTAGAAAAGGCTTGCCAATCCCTGGCCAAGAGTAGGAAGGAATCTCTTAAACTCTTCGCCAGATCAGAGTCTCAAGTTCCAGGCCTTCCAGATGATTCTACCCACAGAGAGGCTGCATGAGCAAGTGAACTCAATGGTAAACCCACCATGATTGCAAGGTATTTATAAGATCCTTTTCAGAGAATCATCATTGTCATAATAACCTCTCCCTTCTGCATGCCACTTTAAAATTTATGAAGTCCTTCCATTGACAAAGCCTCATTTAATCCTTACAAACAGGTAGATAGGAAGTTTATCTCCATTTTCTGGATATAGAAACTGAAGCGTACACACATTAAGCATTTTAATAAAGTAATATACCTGAGCCATGATACAAACCTATGTGTCCTTACTGCATGCTCAGTGACATAGAGCTATGTCATAGAACTCTAGTAGGGAGTAAGTCATGCCATCAGATCCCAGAAATACAGGGTGAGACCAGGCAGAAGGCACAGCACAAAAGATAAGTCTTCGGGTAAAAAAGTGAAAACGCCAAGCAGTCTGTGGACCAGCAAAAGAAGGATGGGGAGGAAGAGGAGATCAGGAAGAGAGGGAGGTGGTGAGGGAGAGGGAAAGAGAGGAGGAGAGAAAAGAGCGGAAGGAGGAGGAAAAAGAGGAAAAGGAAGAGGGGGAGAAAGAAGAGGAAGGGGAAAAGGAGTAGGAGGAGGGAAGAGAACAAGAAGGAGGGAAGGGGAGGAGGAGGATGAGGAAGAGGTGGGGAAGAAGAGGAGAAGGAGGAGGAGGTGGAAGAGGAGGAAGAGGAGAGAAATGAGAAGCAGGAGAGGAGAAGGGGAGAAGAAAGAAGAGAGGGGAGAAGAGAAGGAGGAAAAGAAGATGAAAGGGGAGAAAGAAGAGAAGGGGGAGGAGGGGGGAGTGGAAAAAGAAGAGAGGGAGAGGAAAGGAGGGGAGAGATTCATCTCCTGATGAAAGAATGGCTTCCCTCCTGCCCCACCCCACCCCAGCCCCATCCTCTCTACGCACATCCAGAACTGGGCCAATTTGGCTCTTCCCAAGTATCCCTCAGGAACATACGACCACCTCAGAAGAGAAGGAGCCCTACCACATCTCCGTTTTTCAGCCATGTGCACCAAGTTCTTGTTTGTTGCAAAGTGATGTCTAGAAATGACATCTTCCAAATTAAAAGAAGTATATGTAGGGCCACTCTCTTATCATTAAGAACAGCATATTTTATAGTCAGAGCCCTCCTGCACAGGAGGCATGCTAATTTCCTGAGGAAGCCCTATTTCCCATCCCCAACCATTCCACCACGAGGTAGTCAGTGAGCGGGGAGGGGAGGAAGCCCTATTCAGCAGTGTGTGGAGGGCTGTGGGTGGTCCCTGTGGGACCTGGCAGCCCCCTGGAAGCATCCAGGGTCAGTTTACCATGGCATCTGGTCACCAGGCTTCACACTTGCAATCAGCACCTGCTCTCCTCCCCTTAAAGACAGTTGGCCTTTAAGTCCACCTCTGCCTAAATAGGCTTCCCATGCTGCTGATGTTTGCTACAGGGCAGGTGCTTTAGCTGACCCCCAAAAAGCCTCTTAATTACAAAGCCTGCATCAAGTCACATGTGCCTGAATCATCCATCAAAGTGGCCAAACGGGACAATTAATCAGACTTGAAGAATGTAAAACATCTCCGTACAGAATAGAGGGTAAGCTGCAAACAACCTCGCCATGTAGCAGAACCAACAGGATATATTGATAAAATGCTCATAGAAAACATTCTAAAAGCTGCCCCAGGAGAAAATGGATGGGGAAAATGCTACTTTCCTCAGAACCTAATAATTCTGAAGGAAATGGAGCATAAAACAAGCATGCATGAAACATCAAAAAAAGAAAAGAAAAACCTCACAGGTCATCTAGTCACTTAGCAATACTTTCAAATATTGCATACAGACAGCAATTTCTCTCTTCATTTATTTTCCCAGATTAACAAGGATATAAAAGTATAATTTAGGAAAAGTAGACAAATAGCTAGAGAGAAAGATGCAATTTCAGAGGGATGACTCTGGGCGCGCAGGATTGAACAGCTAGCTGCCTTGAGTAGGGCAAGGCCTTTTGGCCCAAATTTAAAGAGAGGAAGTTGATAAAGAAACACAAGAATATCCAACACTGTGGTGCAGATTTTTTTTAATGCTAGATGAAAGTGAACGCTGCCAGAAGGGAAGCAAGCCACGTAGGTGTGTTCCTGTGACCACGCCACCAAGATCCTCTGGGTTTCCATTGGTGGGAACGTTTTACAGCCCAACCTCCAAGCCTGAGTTAATTCTCCAAAGTACTTTTTAAACGAGATGCTAAGTAACTTAGTGAATAGGAACCTAGAGAGGGAAAAAAGCCAAGAGTCTGTAGTTCTGAAGAGGCCTCTTCTGCAGGCAGGAAACGTTTTCCCAAACGCTGTTCACAGCTATTTCCATCCTTAGGCAAAATCTTAATGGGCAGCTCCGCTCATGTTTTGGGAGGAGAATCTTTGGAGAGGTAGAAATGGGAAGGGCTGTCCTCCAGCCCAGCAGCTATTTTTGTAGAAACTACAGCATAGGCAACACATTCCTAAAGCAGCAGCGATTGTGAGGTCCTGGGCATGGTTTCAGACCCAGGCCCGCAGGAGGGGGAGTGTGAAGACCAGAGCAGTTTCTGTTTTCTCCAGAGCCCAAGGAAAGCGAAGGTGGAAGAACCCATTCCCAGCTCCAGTAGTGCAGCCAGCGCTCCTGGCAGAACCTGACAGCACCAGGTGCCCCATGAGGCAGGAGCTCCAGGTGGACAGAGGTTGTCGATCCTAATTAGAGCAGTCAGAAGGCACAGAACGGGAGCAGGGCTGAGGATGGAGTATAGAGAGGCAGGTGCTTCCTCCAAAACCTGAACAAGGCGGGGTTTTCACTGAAATAAAAGGGTGACCCATCCGCGACCTGTGTACCATCTAGGTTGGTGTTCATTCCTTTCCAGGGATGCCATGTAAGGCAATATCTGAGGCCCCTGATCCATTAGCTTTGACTGGGGTTCTAGAGACACCAAGTGGGCAACAGAAGAAGCGTGGTGGGATCTATCGGGAAACCAATATTTGCACCTCCGTCTGTGGGATTCGTGTGCAGTAGGTAGTGTGCACGTCAGCATCCACCAGCCCCTGCATGGGACCCAGGAAGGCATCACTGTGTGTCCCTCCTCCAGTGCTCCCTGCCCTCAGCAGAAGTGAGTGGTAACCAACACAGTGGCCAGGAAGAAAAAATCCCCAGCCCAGAAATCTCCACTCGCGTTTCCAAGCACGGTTTACAGTCTAAGGTTCACAAGGTCTGCCTGGTTAGCCAGAATGGCGTCCAAAGGCTCTCTTATTTGAAACCTGACACCTTCCCTTCTGGCCAGTGGAAGCTACACCAGCTTCAGTGATAAATCTAGAACAGAATTATCAGGATTCCTTTTGCTTCCTAACCATTAGAATCCTTCCCCATAGCTGAGATCTTTCTTATTCAAAGGGCCTCTCTGTGTGCTTTAGTGCTCAATTTAGTCGTCTTATATTGTATTTTTTAAATATCCCTTTAAACAATTCAACACTACTTACACAACTAGTAAGTCAAAACTTTGTAAATTTAACAAATTAATTTTTGCAGACATACGTACACTGGCCACAAATTTGTCTTAAACATCTAATCGAATATAGCAGATTTTTTTAATTTGTCTTATAAATTTCAAAAGCAGACAAAGCACAAATTATCACAAAATTATTCAACTCATTTTTTTTCTTAACCTCATTTCAAAATACTGATACCATGAGTTTACATTTATCTCTTTATTATCTTTGTACTGACATTTATTTTTACCTATACTACTAAACTTTCCCAAGATTACAGTAATATTTATCTCAGTATTTTTCTGGGTGTCTAATACATTCCAGACCAAAGATAAAGGCTATCTCTTCAGATCATCTGAGGATGCAGGTTTTGACTTACCAACCAATTGATTCTGGGCTTGGTGGCCAGTCCACAAGTTGAGCTCTCTTTACTTAAATTTTACCTATTACATGCTTAAGACAATTTATGCCTCTTCCTTCACAAAGTTCCCTCTACCCTGCTGCTTTTTTTCTCAAGTGATGTGCTCTTTAAGTTGTGCTAAGTCAGTGTCTTGTAACTCATTGTCCCACCCTTATTGTATATTGACCTGGCCTACAGGCATCATTGGAAACTCATGCCTGCCCTTGCCTTCTCCCATTGGAAACTCATGCCTGCCCTTGCCTTCTCCACATATCATTAGAGGGGTGATTTACAGGACATGCTGAACTTTGTCTGCATGGTCAAGGTTAATCCTTACAACACTTAGCTAGTTCATCATCCTAGAACATAGCATTGACCTGTCTTTCCATTTGTATATTCTGTGCCATCACTGGAGCTGATTTGACTGTTGCCTGATATTCTGCCTAATTTGTATATGGGACCACTTGAGCTGATCAGTCCTTCTGTTCCATTTTTCCCAAGACTATCTGGCTCATTCACAACTCTTTGTCCTTACTCCTACTTGCTTACAAAGATAGAAAAAACTGCATAGTTGTCTCTGATCTATCCATATGGATGGAAATACTTGGAATCTCCAAATAACTAAGAATGAGGCTCCGTGCTCATCTAATGCTTGGGACATGACCCAATTTCCTTCCCATCTTTGTTATCACCTAGACATGCCTGCTAAGTAATTCTGAAAGACAGAATCACGAGAGATGAGGTCTTCAGGAGCTCAAAACAGTAGTCTTCCTATTTCTAGGAACTGCCTGGTATTGTTAATGCCATTCACTCCAACCAGCAGAAGAAACTTGAGCACTTTCCCTTAACCTACCCTCTAGCATTCCATCAGTGCAGTCGTAGAGGACTTTGGTCTTTTCAGTCAGTTCTTAGTGGCTAGGGATAAGAGGGAAGCATGCCCCAGTGTGGGGTGAGACACTGGAGTGGTTCCTGAATGTCAGCTTGATGTCCTGTGAGGCTGACTGACTGGTTTTTGACAGTGTCTGCCTTGCGGCTACTGGTGAAGCATTGGGTTGCAGAGAGCTGTCACATGACGACCTATTTCCCTACAAGCCTGGTGCTCTGCAGGCACAAAGAGAGGGGTCAGCATTCTGCCAGTCCCTTCCCACAGGCAGACGGGGTTCCCTTATAGGACTGGAAAATGTTCAGGCAAGATAAAGAGCCTCAGGGCTTCAAGCCAAGTGCCTCCTTGTTTAGAAAAGGAACATCTGAGCCAGAAAACCAATGTGTCCTAACCATGGTCACAAAGCCAGCCAGCCAGCAGCAGAGCCCGACAGCACCCTCCCAGGCAAACTGCTTCTTATTCAAGCATAAAAACCATCACATGAAGCAAACTCACCCAATGTCAGGTGAAAGATGCTACATAATAAACCAAGACCAGACCCTCTCCTGCACACCCACATCCCCAAAGCACAAAGGATCCTCTCACTAGGCAGCCCTCCTCTTAGGGCAATTTCCCCACGTCCTGTTTTGCCCAAGAGCCTACAAATAAGGGCCTTTGAATATGTAAGAGATCACTGGGGGCTCCTTTATAATATTGAGAAGATAAGCAATTCCATAATTGTACTATTATTGTAAACTTTACATAGAAATGGCATTTTCATAGGGCAGTGAAAGCAAGAGCTTGTTTAGGGTAAGGGCTGCCTTCCTCTGTGATAGGAGCCTCATTAAGGAGTCCAACAGCCTTTAGTAAACACATAACCATGACAGGGGATGCCTGATGAAAATATAGCAGGTCAACCAGGCGCGGTGGCTCATGCCTGTAATCCCAGCACTTTCAGAGGCCGAGGCAGGCAGATCACCTTAGGTCAGGAGTTCGAGATCAGTCGGTCCAACATGACGATACCCTATTTCTACTAAAAATACAAAAAATTAGCCAGGTGTGGTGGTGGACGCCTGTAATCACAGCTACTCAGAGGCTGAGGCAGGGGAATCGCTTGAACCCGGGAGGCAGAGGTTGCAGTGAGTGGATATTGCACCATTGCACTCCAGCCTGAGAGACAGAGTGAGACTCCATCAAAAAAAAAAAAAAAAAAAAAAAAAAAAAAAAAAAAAAAAAGAAAATATAGCAGGTCACTTGGGCCCCTAACACCCCAAAGCTTGAGGCCAGGGCCTGCTTCTGGTCTTTTCTCCAAATGTAGAAAAGCTCGCTGCATACAACCAACTTCATCCATCAGATAAACACCAAAATCCTTCCACTTCTCTCCACTGGGATCATTTGCCACGGGTCTGGATCACTGGATGTAGGATATTTTCCTAAAGGGAAGCATGAGGAGCCTCAAGTCTCCAGAGAGTAAATTCTAGACTGACCTACACTGTGCTTTTTGGAGAGAAGACAGGAACGTCATTCTTCCAGGATGAGCAACAGCTTTTCTGCCTCACACTTGACTTCAGTTTTGACTAAATTAAAGGGCAATTCATGTGTAAATAAGTGCACACTTCCAAAAAATACCTGAGGGGAAAACTGCCAGTGGCCCTTTGTTTATTTCAAGCAGCGGCTGATCAGAGTACAGGCTTGCTAGCAAGTATCAGGTATCCTAACAAAAATGTGCCTGAGGTTTTAGAGTCAATAACAAAAACAATGAACAGGAGACTCTTACGTAAATACTACCTGATCTCAGGATCTCAGCAGAGCTTCTTTCCTGGGGGAGTGGATCTTCAGCATTTGGGAGAAGCAGTGGTAGGAGAACAGGCAACGGAGAGAGAAGGCCACAGTTCCCTTCCTACTAAACCACAGTCATCCCCTACATCTCAACCATGCCAGAAGATGGAAAGTGAGGGTCAAACATGGAAATATCTTCATGGAAAGGGCAGATGATGAAGAGGGTAAGCTGCAATATACAATAGAAAGCAGTTGCAATATACACTAGAGGCCGGGCGCGGTGGCTCACGCCTGTAATCCCAGCACTTTGGGAGGCCGAGGCAGGCAGATCACGAGGTCAGGAGATCGAGACCATCCTGGCTAACACAGTGAAACCCTGTCTCTACTAAATACAAGAAATTAGCCAGGCGCAGTGGTGGGCACCTGTAGTCCCAGCTACTCAGGAGGCTGAGGCAGGAGAATGGCGTGAACCCAGGAGGCAGAGCTTGCAGTGAGCAGAGATCGTGCCACTGCACTCCAGCCTGGGAGACAGAGTGAGACACTGTCTCGAAAAAAAAAGAAAAAAAAAGAAATATACAATAGAAAGCAGAAGGGACCATGGTGCTTGCCTCATCTAAAGAGGGAAACTGCTGTTTCCCTCCATCTTATTGCCATGTGGGAATGCAGTACCTGGGATGCCTGATTTCCTCATTTTTCAAAAGAAGCTAAAGTTCTTCATCTAGAGGTGCAGCCTCCTAATTTATAAATATGGCAACTATTTTAAGTGTGTTTCAACATTGCGCAGACCAACAAAACCCATCTGGAAGCTAGGAACCGTAGAGGGGCTACCCATTTGCAGCGTCTGCTATGGAAAAAGGGTTTAGCCAGGTCATGCCTTTTATGCCACCTGACCCTACCACCTTCCTTCCCCTTCTTGACTCAAAGCACTTCCAGGAAACATCCTTCAGTTCGATTTTACCATCACCACCCTCTGTATCAAAATGGTGTCACCACATGAGTCCTGAAGAATGCTAATTATATAATAGTTATGTATCCACTTGTTCAGTTTGGAATATTCTCATCAGCCCAACAATCAAGTATTCAAGCATACCTAGTTCATGCCAGTCCCATCACCATTTGAACACCTGGAATTGCTAGATTTGATAACTAGCAGACCCAAATCTATTAAAAATTATTCTCGATACCCACAAACACCACTAAAACATGCATTTCCAAAAGACAGCCGAAGGCAAGAAACCTGGTGTAAATTACTCTGGTGATGAAACCACATCGGAATTAGTACAGTATACATAGTCCATACTCAATGTGAATTACAGGAATTTGCTTAAATATTGCTTAAGTTTAGAGTTTCCTCAGAAATGGACCCTGGCACTAAGAATTGAGTGCAAGTTTGTTTGAGAAATGATCCTGGTAGGCACCAGGAGAGTGAAGAAGCGAGACAGGGAAGAAAAAGAAGCCAGCGCAGGCCACCACTGTGGGTAACTGGGGTTCAGTCCTGGGGACCCTGGGGAGCCCTTGTGAAACATGCCTTAGAGATGTCATATCTCAAGGGGGAAGAAACTGGGGTATTGATCTATCAACTCCCACCTGTTATTTGTTGAGAGCTGTTCCTGTAGGCATTAACTCTCAGCACTCCGACTTAACTGTGTATTGGACAAGCTTACTCCCACAGTCACAGAAAGCCCTCAAGCAAAGAGTTATAGGTGTTTACAGGAAGAAATCTTTGAGGAAAATTAATACTGGTGTCTTAGTTCATTCAGGCTGCCATAAAAAAGTACTTTAGATCGTGTAACTCATAAACAACAGAAATTCATTGCTCACAGTTCTAGAGGCCAGGGAGTCGGAGATCAAGGTGACAAGAGGTTCAGTGTCTAGGGAGCGCTCACTCTCTGCTTTACAGATGGTCCTCCCGACTCTGTCCTTATATGGCAGAAAGGGCAAACAAGCTCCCTCAGGCCTCTTTTATGAAGGCACTTGTCCCATTCATGAGGGTGCTGCCCTCATGACCTGATGATGTCCCAAAGCCTCCACCTATTAATATGATTGCATTAGGAATTAGGTTTTAACATATAAATCTGGGAGGACACAAACATTCATACCAAAGCACCCTGCAGTGTCCTTGTGCACTCGCATCTCTAGCATCACACTAAAGCATTCATGAACAGGACACTGGCAAAAGAGAAACCAAGACAGTTCACAAAAATTACCCACACATCTAAGGAAACTGTATGGGCAGTCTTCTTGTCTACATAAAAAACTTCTGTCATAAAAAAACTGCCTTGCTATAAAGTATCTGAAAATAATGGATAAAATATGACAGAAATCTTTTAAATATATAGCTGAGCTTGCAATAAAAAAAATAGCAACAACAACAAAATGATGAGGTCTCCAGAAGCCAAAACAAAGCCAAAGCCAAAAACAAAAACAGAAACAGAAAAAAAAACAAACAAAAAAAAACAAAACACACACACACACACACACACAGAGTGGAAAACCAACAGTGAAGTTGTGTCTACCCACAGAAAACGTGTCAATGTCCATTAACCAGAACTTAGGCTTTAATGGCTGTGCATGAGTTTGGTAAGGAAGCCCTTCCCCATGTGAGATGGAAAGTTGATCCCTCCATGAAGCTACAACCTTCTAAGAGTTACAGTCACAGTAAAAAAATAATAGTAATAAATTAAGAAATAATAAAAGAAACAGAAAAAAGCAGGTGAGGAAGAAAAACACTATTAGGCAAAACAGAAAACAAAAAAAACTTATCTAACTCTGCCTAATCTCTTGGGAAACTAAGTCTTCCATGCAAATATGTCATCTAAGTATACTATCATCTAGGTTTGGGCCCCAAATGTATATACTACCTTCATAGTTCAAAAAAATCTTAAGCCTAGAAATTAAATGTAGAGTGGTTCTTGATTGGGAACATCTGAGGCATATAGGCAGAAGGAAATATTAATTATCTCTATGGGGTCATATACCCTCAATTCACATTTCACTGGGTCTCTAAATTTTTAACCATAAGCTCACAGTCCAAAATTCAAAAAGACAAGGAAATAAACCACCATGAGGAAGAGTCAGCAAAATTCTACCCAAACTGTAGAATTCTACATCCAAAGATATTAGATTTTAGAAATAAAAGATACAGTATATAAAATGTATAGCTTCTTTAATTAAAAAAACTCAAAACATGAGAAAAAAATAGTATCAAAATAATCAGGGAGGTTTGAAAATAAAATAAGACCCTTTAAAATGCAACATTTAATTGTTGAAATGAAAAAATAATGGTTATGTTAAAACATTGTTTTTAAAATAGCTGAAGGGAGAACTGATGGACTGGATGAAAGGTCTAGAGCTATGACTCAAAATCTACCACAGAGAAATAAAACGAAAAATATGGAGCTACAGCTATAGAAGAAAATAGGGGAAAAGGCAATTTCTGAAGAAAAATGCTGAAAATTTTCCAGAACTGCAAAAGACATGCATTTCAGCTTCAATAAATGCAATAACTCTTCAATGTTTATTAGCCAGAGATATCAGTGCATTACATTGGGGGTCTCTCCACCAGGCTACCCACAACATAGCAACGTGCTTCCCACAGTTTCCCAGAGATTCGTAAAAGAAATTTCACAATTAGACCAACCAGGATAAAACCACAAACCACCAAAGGAAAAAAAAAAATGGTAAAAGTTGCAAGAGAAATTACCTAAAAGAAGTTATAGACTGACAGCTGGCTCCAGCAATACTCTCATAGAAAAGAGAAAATAACAATCAACGTAGAACCTAGAATTCTATATACAGTATAGCTACAATTCTACATACAGTATAGTTAAGTCATTCAATAGTAAGTAAAAGACTTTGGAGAAAAAAAAATCTAGAGTGTTTGCCACCGAGACTCTCACTAAAAGAACTTTAAAGGGTACTTGAAATGACCCCAGAAGTCAGTTTTGAGATATAAAATGGAATGACAAGCAAAGTAGCAACTTTATCAATGAATGTAATGATGATAATGATGAATTTGGAACAAGAATGTGTTAGATTTCTATTTCTGCATAACAAATACCCTAAAATTTGGCAGTTAAAAACAATAAGCATTATCACCTCACCTCACAGTTTTTTTCCTCTGGGGCAGGAATTTGGGTGTGGTTTAGTTGGGGGTCTCTGGGAAAAGGTGATGAAGTAGTCAATTCTAGGCTTGGCTGGGGGAGCAGCTGCTTCCAAACTCATGTGAGTACATCGCAATGAACAGACCTCCAAAGATCCGCTTTCATGCCCACTCACAGGGCTGTTACTGGAGTTCAAGTCTTCAATAGCTATTAGCCAGAGATCAGTGCCTTGCCATGGGGGGTCTCCCCACAACGCTACCCCATAACATGGCAACGTGCTTCCCACGGAGTGGGAGAAAGCGCATGACAGCTGTCATAGTCTCATGACATTGCAGCCTCATCTCAGAAGCAACATTCCAATGTTTTCGCTATGTTCTACTGTGTCTGGAATTGATGGGTTCTTCATCTCACGGACTTAAAGAATGAAGCCGCGGAACCTCGCGGTGAGTGTTACAGTTCTTAAAAGGCAGTGTGTCCAGAACTTATTCTTTCTGATGCTGGGATGTGTTCAGTTTCTTCCTTTTGGTGGGGTTCGTGGTCTCGCTGGCTGACTTTCCCGGTGAATGTTACAGCTCTTAAGGGGGCATCTGGAGCTCTTCGTTTCTCGCGGTGGGTTCTTAGTCTCGCTGGCTTCAGGAATGAAGCTGCAGACCTTCACAGTATGGGTTATAACTCATAAAAGAAGCGTGGACCCAAAGAGCGACCACCAGCAAAATTTACTGCGAAAAGCAAAAGAACAAAACTTCCACAGCACGTAATACTACTCAAGCAGGTTACTGCTGCTAGCGCGGGCAGCCTGCTTTTATTCTCATCTGGCCCCACCCACATCCTGCTGATTGGTCCATTTTACAGAGAAGGCCGAGTGGTCCATTTTGACAGGGCACTGATTGGTGCGTTTACAATCCCTGAGCTAGACACAAAGGCTCTCCACCTCCCCACTAGATTAGCTAGATACAGAGTGTGGACGCAAAGGTTCTCCAAGGCCCCACCAGAGTAGCTAAACACAGAGTGTCGATTGGTGCATTCACAAACCCTGAGCTAGACACAGGGTGCTGATTGGTGTATTTACAATCCCTTAGGTAGACATAAAGGTTCTCCAAGTCCCCCCCAGACTCAGGATCCCAGCTGGCTTCACCCACTGGATCCTGCACCTGGGCGGCAGGTGGAGCTGCCTGCCAGTCCCACACCGCGCACCCGCACTCCTCAGCCCTTGGGTGGTCGATGGGACCGGGGCGCCGTGTAGCAGGGGGCGGCGCTCGTCGGGGAGGCTTGGGCGGCACAGGAGCCCACGGAGCGGGGGGAGGCTCAGGCATGGCGGGCTGCAGGTCCCTAGCCCTGCCACGCGGGGAGGAAGCTAAGGCCCGGCGAGAAATTGAGCACAGCAGCTACTGGCCCAGGTGCTAAGCCCCTCACTACCCGGGGCTTGCGGGCGGACCTGCAGCACTTGCGGGGCCCGCTGAGCCCACGCCCACCCGGAACTCGCGCTGGCCCGCAAGCGCCGCGCGCAGCCCGGGTTCCCGCTTACGCCTCTCCCTCCACACCACCCCGCAAGCTGAGGGAGCGGGCTCCGGCCTTGGCCAGCCCAGAAAGGGGCTCCCACAGTGCAACGGCAGGCTGAAGGGCACCTCAAGCGTGGACAGAGTGGGCACCGAGGCCGAGGAGGCGCTGAGAGCGAGTGAGGGCTGTGAGGGCTGCCAGCATGCTGTCACCTCTCACTACCGCTTAGAAGCAAGTCACTGGGCTACTCCAGAGGAGGGGATTGCACGGGACGTGAACACTAGGAGGGGGTCCCTGGGGCCATGTTGGAGGCTGCCTAGTGCAAAACGGCAGATAACAATAGCACACAGAGGAGGGGCTGGTGAGTGAACATTAAAGCATTCTCATGTCCTTGACCTGGTCTTTTTCAGGGAGGAGAGTAAAGACAATGTTTATTTATGCAAGACGAAAAAGTTCTAGAAATCTGTGGCCCAACAATGTGAATATACTGAAGACTTCCAAACTGTACTCTTGAAAATGGTTAAGATGGGAAATTCACTGTCATGTGTTTTTTGCCACAATAAAAACAAATATATACATACTTATATACCAAGGTTTTAAAAATAGGAAAAAGAGAAGTTTATTTTTAAGATTTATTAAGATATTCGTGTTAAATTTTCAAAGGTAAGTACTACCTGACTAGAAATAAAGTATATGATTTCCAAACTATAAACAAAACAATAAAAACAAAAGAAAAAATTAAAATATTCCAATTAAATCCAAAAGAATGCTGGAAAGAAGGGAGGAAAGGCATAAAGAAAGAAAACCCAAAATAGGATAAAATAATTATTAAAATATCAGAGGCTTGGCTGGGCACGGTGGCTCATGCCTGTAATCCCAGCACTTTGGGAGGCTGAGGCAGGTAGATCACCTGAGGTCAGTTGTTCAAGATCAGCCTGGCCAACATGGCGAAACCCCGTCTCTACAAAAAATACAAAAATTAGCTGGGCGTAGTGGCGGGTGCCTGTAATCCCAGCTACTCGGGAGGTTGAGGCAGGAGAATCGCTTGAACCCGGGAGGCAAAGGTTGCGGTAAGCTGAGATAGTGCCACTGCACTCCAGCTGACAGAATAAGACTCCATCTCAAAAAATAAAAATAAAAATAAAAAAATAAATCAGAAGCCCTAATAGATATAAATGGACTATATTAACCTGATCTTACAAAACAAAAAAATGACAAATTGCATTTTAAAAGTTAGCTGTCTGCTCTTTAAAGAAATACACCTAAAATATAGATCTACAGTGAACAATACATTTAATGGTGAAACATTGGAAACGTTCCCTTTAAAATCAAGAGTGAGACAAATTTGCCCGTCACTGCCACTTGTATTCAGCATTGTACTGAAGGACCTCACCAGTGTAGTAAGACAAGAAAAAGAAAATGTTAAAGGATTTGAAAGGAGCAAACAAAAATACTATTATGTGCATATAATATGACTTTGTCTACGCAGAAAAACCTAATCTACAAATTACTGGAACTAATGAAAGTTGAATTAGCAATTTATTTGGGGACTAATTTATTACATTATTTCAAGAGATAGCTAGCATGCATCGCGTTACTTAATTCATTTTCATGGAGGTAGAGTACATCATTATACGTATCGACTACAATTGTGTCCCTCCTCCTTTTGATAAAAATTTAGGTTGTTTCCACTTTTTTGCAATTACAAACTGTTGTGAATATCCGTTATTTATGTCTCCTGTGTCAGAAAATGTTTACCGGCCCAGTCCTTTTTTTCTTTCTCCAGTTTTCAGCAGCTTAAGCCTGGGCAAAAGTATTTAGACTAATTGCTCTAGTTGTATCAGTTTTGTCCAGTAATGTTTCCATGCACACTAACAGTTTTTAAATGTTCTGAAGACACATGAACAGATGGCAAAAAAAGGCTGAACAATATCCAAACGGTTACAGCAATGGTGTTACAGAGAAGGGCATAGCGTTGAGCCAGGCCTTCTTTAAACTTTGCTGTGAAGCAGAAGAAACTCACACGTGGTGTTTAACTTGTGTGCAGGTCTGCGGGGGAAGGACGGCTGTGATTGTTCAACGGGTGAACTCTTCTCCTTTATTCATCCGAAATCCAATTTCCTGTCTTATTTTTCATGGCAGCTTGCTATCTTTCAATATAATTCTTTTTATATCTTTAGCAAAAGTATTTTTTATTCCCCTAATCAGGAAGGGAATGCTAGGGTGTGTTGATTCTGGAGGCAGAGAAATGAGTCCTTTCCTTGGTTAGGAATGTATTTTGCTGGCAGAGAGACCAAGCCAACCGCAGCTCTGCTTTTCCCCTCCAGCATCCACCTGTAAGAGCTTGTAATCTTTTATTGTTCATGGCCCCGGGATCCTATTCCCGGATGGTCTATGTGAAATGAAGAGAAAGTACAAGCAAGTTCAGATTTCCCATAGAAACACCTCCCTCCTTCCTGTCCAGGAGAGCTCTATTGCAGAGTTGGAGCATCCAGCAGACCCACCCTGGCTTCATCTCATTGACATAAGAGATGCAGAAAGAAATGGCGAATTGGCTTTGGGAATGAAGAATTTGACTTCCCTGGTTCCAGTTCAAGACATACGGGTGGGAACTCCCACTGGGTATCCACTCTGCTTTCTTGGGAAAGCTTCACGGTATCTTTAGGAAGGAAGCCTGGGATTCCACACCCTGGAGATACTGGATCTCTTATTCTCTATGCACTTCCTTACACACTTTCTCTTCCTTCAAGGGCCTCTCAGTTGAGGCACTACTCCACCTTAAATCCAGGTGGCCACATTCAGAAGCACTGTCACGCTGGCCTCTCAGCAACATGCTAACACAGAAAAGGAGGCTGTTTATGAGTCAGCTCTGCCAACAGGATTGCTTCCTAGGAAAAGTGCAAATTGATTTTTTTCCTCCTGTTGGTCTGCTGGGGGATTGGAGGCAGCCACGGACAATTCATTAGCACATGTAGGAAGGCCAGGGAGAAAAATAAGCTAAGTTGCTCTCATACTAGAAAGCATTTAGGAAGCAAACCCATAAACATGGATAATTATTGTGTGTCCATTAAAATTTAAAAAAAAAAAAAGAATTCGTGCTTGTTCTGTAGGCCTCTGTGTATGGCCAAGATTGGCTACAGGGCCCTGAACATTGCAAGAAACGTTTGCACTGGCAAGGAAGGGTGCTGGCCTCTATTTTTGTAGAAACAGGGTCTATGTTGCTCAGGCTGGTCGTGAACTCCTGGGCTCCAGCGATCCTCCTGCCCAGGCCTCCCAAAGTGTTGGAATTACACACATGAGCCACCACGCCCAGCCAGGATCTGTATGGTGGTGCTTATACGCAGTAACCCTGCATAGAACTACAAGAGCGAACACGTGCGTGCGTGTGAAAACCGCTAAAACCTGAGTACAGTCTGTAGAGTACACCAGTGTCAATGACTAGGTTTTGATACGTGGTTCTGTAAGATGTTACCATGAAGGGAAGTGGGTGAAAGTACACAGGGCACCTCTGTACTCTTTGTGTAGCTTCCTATGTCTATCATTATTTCAAGATAAAAAGATTTTATTTTAAAAAAATGGCCTGAAGCTCTTGAGCCTGAGGCTACGCATCTCCCTCTGCCTTTATGACCCACAGTGCAGGCCCTGAGCCCCCAGAGTCTGGGCTCCACTGCCCTGGCCTCTGGGGCATCTGAGAAGCCTGGTACAGGAAGGAAGCATGAAGCTTAAAATAGTGCTCAGTTCCTCCTTTTACAAGTGAAGAAACGGAAGCTTAGGGGGGGGCAAGGTGAGTGCTAGCTGATGCCCTGATTTACTGCCTGAGTTACATGGAAGCTTCTGTCCCTAGGAACATACCAAGACAGTCTGCCCTAAAATGGTCAAGCTAGAAGGCCAAAGCGAGGGAGGGCTGGGGTTTTGTTTTGTGGGGTGTGTGTGTGCATTCTCATGTGTGTATTTAAGGGCTGCAAAGGACATACTGGTTTTGATGTCACACTATGAGCACAAATGGTGTAGAAATTCTATTCCACAACATGAGCGATGTTCAGCAAAGTCAGTAAGAAGGTGAGCATGTCTGAGCTTACCTGCAAGATGAAGGCCTGTGATGACGGTGGAAACTCTTTCTGACCCCAGCAGCCACAGAAATTTGTATTTTGCCAAGGAAGGCTCCTTCTTTGAAAATATATAGGAAGAAGACAGAAGTCTACCTTTCTGATACCACTTTAAGCAATAGAGGAAAAGAAAATTATCTTGTTTTTCCACTGTCCTTCCAGGGGTGATTCTAGGACCGTTAAGATCTGGCCGTGTCTGAGCAAACACCAGCCACCTCCGACCTCCAGCCTTTCAAAGAAACAAGCTGGACTGTTTGCATTTATATGATTCAAAATGAAGGTCACAAAAGCACAACTGACTTGATTTTATGAAGAGCTTTTGTTGACAAACGTGAAGTTCCCAGAATACACAGTCTTTGGGACTTGAGTTTTTTTGTATATATTATTCTCTGTGCCTGAGTTGGTAGAAAAGAGCCTACATAACATAGGCTCCTACTCCAGCCCAGTACAAGGTTTTCAACCTGCACACTTTCCATAAACCCTCTCTGCCTCAGTTTTCCCAATTCTAAAACACGGATGATAGCATCTCTCTTAAGGCTTTTGTGAGGATTTCAGCTAATACATACGTAGGGCTCAGAACAGGACCTGCTGTGGAAAGAGCTATAGAAGTGATCACTGTTATTACACTCATCTGTAATTACTGCAAGTATTTGGAAATATATAGGAATATACTTAAGATGAATGGACACAAAACCGCCTCCACAGCTTCCAAGGCAAAGCGCTGCTACCTGTCCACCGTGTGGCAGTTCCTGTCACCCACACTGGTGCCTCCCTGTTCTCTCACCGCACCTTGTGGCTACGCTGCGCGCCGGTCGTGTTTGTCCCCCCTTTCTCCTGAAAGTCAGGGGCTATGCTTAAGACTAAATCACCTTTGTATCCCACATCTAGCACAGTGCCTATCAAACAGTACGGGCTCAAAAAGCTTTAACAATCGGACCGATAAAATAGCAGGGCTTTTGTCTCTCCTGTCAATCTAGCATCTCTCCTTCCATTTTTTCTGCACCTACCAAAAATAAGAAAAAAATCAGACTGCTGCTGTGTTCTGCCAGCTGCTCTTAACTTCCAGCACGTGTCCCAAGCAATCTACTTGAAAGGATATCTACCCCCTTAACTGAGTACTGAACACTATGAAAATAATCTTTGTGGTCTCTTGTATTAGGAGAGAGCAAATTGAAGATGTTAAAAAGCCAATGTATTAGCAAGATTTGAGAAGATCCAAAAGCAAGCTGATTATTTCCAAAAATCAGCTCAACAACTCCTAAGATTGATAGATGTGTCCACAATTTGGGGGTTCTTGGTCTCACTGACTTCAAGAACGAAGCCACAGACCCTCACAGTTAAGTTCTTCAAGAGGGCGTGTCCAGAGTTTATTCCTTCTGATGTTCAGATGTGTTCTGAGTTTCTTTCTCGTGGGTTAGTGGCCTTGCTAACTTCAGGCGTGAAACTGCAGACCCTCGCAGTAAGCATTACACTTCTTAAGGTGATACATTTGGAGTGTTAATCATTTATTTTCCCCCAGTGGGTACCTAGTCTCACTGGCCTCATAAAAGAAACCGCAAACCTTCATGGGGAGTGTTACACTTCATAAAAGCAATGCAGACCCAAAGTGTAAACAACAAAAACACTTACTGCAAAAAGCAAAAGAACAAACCAACCACACAAAAGCAACGAAACAACCAGTTGTCACTAGTGGAGCCTGCAGCCTGACTTTATTCTCTTATCTGGCCCCTCCCACATCCTGCTGATTGGTCCATTTTACAGAGAGCCAATTGGTCTGTCTTACAGAGAGCTGATTGGTCCGTTTTGACAGGGTGCTGATTGGTCGCGTTTACAATCCCTGAGCTAGATGCAAAAGTTCTCCAGTTCCCCACTAGATTAGCTAGATACAGAGTGTTGATTGGTGTATTTACAAACCCTGAGCTAGACACAGAGTGCTGATTGGTGTGTTTACAAACCTTGAGCTAGATACAGAGTGCTGATTGGTGTATTTACATTCCCTTAGCTAGACATAAAGGTTCTCCAAGTCCTCACCAGCTTAACTAGATACAGAGTGCCAATTGGTGCATTCACAAACTCTGAGCTAGACACAGGGTGCTGATTGGTGTGTTAACAATCCTTGAGCTAGATACAGAGTGCTGATTGGTGTATTTACAATCCCTTGGCTAGACATAAAGCTTCTCCAAGTCCCCACCAGAGTAGCCAGATACAGAGTGTGGATTGGTGCATTCACAAACCCTGAGCTAGACACAGGGGGCTGATTGGTGTGTTTACAATCCCTTAGCTAGACATAAAGATTCTCCAAGTTCCCACCAGACTCAGGAGCCCAGCTGGCTTCACCCAGTGGATCCGGCACTAGGGCCGCAGGTGGAGCTGCCTGCCAATCCCGCGCCGTGCGCCCGCACTCCTCAGCCCTTGTGCAGTCTAGGGGACGGAGCGCTATGGAGCAGGGTGGCGCTGCTCGTCGGGGAGGCTTGGCCTGCTCATAAGCTCACAGCGGGGGAGTGGGGAGCGGGAGGAGACTTCAGGCATGGTGGGCTGCAGGTCCTGAGCCCTGCCGCGCCGGGAGGCAGCCAAGGCCCGGTGAGAAATCGAGCACAGCAGCTGCTGGCCCAGGTGCTAAGCTCCTCACTGCCCGGGGCTTGCTGTCAGGCCGGCCGCTCCGAGTGCGGGGCCCGCCGATCCCACGCCCACCGGGAACTCGCTCTGGCCCGCAAGCGCCGCGCGCCGCCCGGGTTCCCGCCTGCGCTTCCCCCTTCATATCTCCCCGCAAGCTGAGGGAGCCGGCTCCGGCCTTGGCCAGCCCAGAAAGGGGTTCCCACAGTGCAGCGGCGGGCTGAAGGGCTCCTCAAGCGCGGCCAGAGTGGGCGCCAAGGCCGAGGAGGCCCCAAGAGCGAGCGAGGGCTGCCAGCATGCTGTCACCTCTCAATAGGGCCCCTTACTTTCCCTGCCTGATGGTTTATCCGCCTTCCTTCAGTCACTCCTCGAACACTTAACCAGCTCCCACAGTGCAGTGTAAAGAGCGAAGCAAGGTGTTGCTAGAGTGGGGAATTCAGAAATCGTGAAGGGACGTTTTTAGCTCATTCTCAAATTCTGATGGAGATATTTTTCATACAGTTTATTCCTTAGAACCTTCTACTTACATTCCCTAAAAGAATAAGTTGTTATTTACAGCCTGTATTGGTTCCCGTGTTCAGGAACACAGGCAGCCTTTCCAGAAGAAAATCAGTGTTTAGGAAACAAAATGGATGAGTTGACTTTCCATCTCCAAAAGTCACGGTGGCTTATGGAGAGGCACGAAGCACACACAACGCAACACAATCCGTCCAAGTTCACAGCCGCAGAAGAACCACACCCAAAATTGCTGAGAGTGTGAACCTTGACTGCCTTACAAACACAGACCGCAAAGGGAGGTAAAGCTTATTCGGCTACAAAAGATGTTGCTTGTCTCTTAAGTAGTTCCTTCATTGACGCCAAATGTCTTTTATTTATAATCACGTCTCTTTTTTTTTTTTTTTATTTGAGTGTATGCTTGCATTCCCACCTTCAAATCATTGCTCTCCGCCCGAGCACAGAGCTCCCGCGAGCCTGCAGGCAGCCCAGGACTCCTGCGCATACCAGGCTCTCTGGTCTTGGCTCTCCCAGCCCCACGCCGCCCACTCACATCTGCCCAGCTCTGCTGTTCTTCCACGTTCTTCTCCACATTGGGAGTTTTTTGCAGGCGTGTCCTGTCTCATGCTCCCCATCCTCCGCTAGCTCTCCTTGCTCATCTCTTCAGCTTTGTTCTCTTTGTCCCTGAACTCTCATCTCAAATCTTTTCATGCCTAAGATCGTGCTTGGCAGAGAGTCGATGCTCAGGAAATGAAACAGAAAAAAAAAATGCTTTTAGGGGCTGTTGCAAGAATCCTACCTAAGCAGGGCCGTGCCTTTCTTGAAAGAATTCTTGAGAGTCGCTTGGGTAACTGCCAAGGTTCCAACTCCTCAGGACTGAGGCAGGGGAAACATGGTGTCCTGTAGAGACAGGAGCCAGAGACATGAAAAAAGAGGGAGAGGCCGGGAGCATCTCACCGGCTCATAAAGGGCTAAGCGGAGGCGGCTGCCTCTTAACGCTTCATAAATTCTGTACACCTTGTGAAATGGTTTGTAAGGAGATTTCTTAGGACATCTATGAAGGGGTTAAACTTTGAGCCGAGTGATACACGGTAGACGTAGGATCTCACGTTTAAGATCATATATCAGGAAATGAGCAAAAAAAACTTGGTGTGGCTTTTAACATTGGGTTTCAAACTAGGCAAGGCAAGAGAATCACCTGGGGAGCATTTGAAAACCAGGCAGCACCCAGACTTATTAAATCAGACTGTCTGGGGTGGAACTCAGGCATGGGTATTTTCACAGCACTCTCCTATTGATTTCAACGTGCAGCCACATTAAGAACCATCAGCAAAGAGCATCCCAACCATGAGGTTATGTTCCACCAATCCTGTTTAATCTCAAGGGCTGGGAGGCCCCAACTGACATCTAGGTTTCATCTCAGAAATATCTATTTAACTTAAAGCTTGGCTGAAGGCAGGCTGCGGTGGCTCACGCCTGTAATCCCAGCACTTTGGGAGGCCGAAACGGGTGGATCACTTGAGGTCAGGAGTTCAAGACCAGCCTGGCCAACATGGTGAAACCCCATCTCTACTAAAAATACAAAAATTAGCCCATGGTGGTGGCACACACCTGTAATGCCAGCTACTGGAGAGGCTGAGGCATGAGAATCCCTTGAGCCTGGGAGGTGGAGGTTGCAGTGAGCCAAGATTGTGCCATTGCACTCCAGCCTGGGTGACAGTGAGATGTTGTCTCAAAAAAAAAAAAAAAAAAAAGCTGGGCACAGGCACAGTGGACCACATCTGTAGTCCTAGCAGTTTGGGAGGCTGAGGTAGGAGGATCGCTTGAATCCAGGAGTTTGATACCAGCCTGGGCAGCAGAACCAGACCCTATCTCAAAAAATAATAATACAAAAAAGATGTATGAACTTAACTAAATTATTTTAAACCTAGGGTGTTCTTACATTAAAAAGAAAAATGTTAAAAAGAAGTTGGTTTCATTTTCTGCAACTGTAATGAGAATAGTCAATATTGTAATATCTTCTTTCTAATAGACTCCATCCTCCTTTTGCCCAATTATTAACTATCTATTATGTGCCTAGCACTGGCCAAGATGCTTTATATGCATTATTTTTCTTAATTCCTAATAAAACACTTCAGTGCATTTTCCTCTATCCCAGTTTCCTTTGGGTTGAGAAAAGCAGCACCTTCGCAGAGTGACAGTGACCTGCACAATCTCAGTGAAGAATTTTATCAAAATTGGGAAGCTTGTTGGGTCTTGTCCCTCTCTGTAAGCAACTTGAATCCTAGGAGGACCAGGTTCCGGCACACATATCTGGACTCGTTTCGCCTCCATCTAAAGCTCTGCTTCTGTCTTCTGTCTGCCTCGCTCATGTACTGCAGGGTGAGACCCGCACAGCAACCAGGGTGCAGTGCTGAGGGCCCTGGAGGCTGAGTCTGGAGATGTGAGGAAGTCACTTCCCTGCCTGAAATCTCAGTCTCTTCCTTAGCAAACAGGGATGTTACTAACACCCCATGCCCTGGCCACTCTCAAGACTAATGAGAGAATCAACAATTCAAATTGCATTTGAGGACCTCCTGGTACGTTTGGTTCAAATCCAGCACCATCAATGAGCAGACCAGGCTGGCCTCAGCTGTTACCTCCCAGCCAGTTTGTCAGTTCCTGCTCACCCATCCATCATATTCCACAACATCAGATGCCAAGGACAACAAACACCTTAGCTTTTTCTTTTAAATCATATCTAGTTCATGACTTCTAGAAGCAGAAGGGAATTCCTTTTCAGCATTTGCGGCATGTCAAGAAAAGTCCCAGAGATCATCTTTGCAGCTGTGCAGTCACGTAAACCACCCTGTGCATCTGGCCCTGTTTCTGTCCCCTGTCAAGAGACAGACAAATGCGTAAGAACCGCAGACATGAAATACAACAGGTGTATCCTGGTTGTGTGAGTGTCACCAGTGTCATGGTTCCCGCTGTCCCTAAGCCAGGCTCTCCCTTAGAAGGAGTGGTGAAATCCACATTGGCAGCGGAGAAGCATGTGCTAACGTCCAATCTTCCATTGTAAAAAGAGAGCAGACTAGCATTTATCCACTTTTCTATCCCACATGGACTGACTCCAAATTAGTAACAGAAAGTTGAACAATTACCAACACCAAGCCAAAGAGGCAAGTTCCCCTGATGCTTCTAGACTTGAGGAAGCCCTAGTAATCTGGTCGCTACTTAACCAATAGTAGGGCTCTGGGTGAACTGGCCTGGTCAAAATGCTCCTTTTCCACCTCAGTTCCACCACGGCTAGCACAGTGTCCAGCGCATATTAGACAGTTAAGAAACATATTGTAAGAAAGAAGAGTGACACTGTTATTAAGATGGTGTTTAAAATGAAGAGGGGCAGGCAAGGTAGTATAAAGTGAATCCGTGGGAAACATGCCTTGTCTACAGAAGACTATAAAATGTTGATGATAATGAGACTATAATGTGTTGACTATAAATGAGAGATTTAGAGTATATATAAAGTTTGCATGCATCTTTTGTTGAGTTTATTATTCAGTAGTGTGTTATCATAATCAGATGATGAAGTATTATACATACGATGATACCAGAAGCATTTCTGATTTGTCTATCCCCAAGACCTAATCCCCTTCCTATCACAGGGTAATGAATGATGAGCCAAGTTGCTCTTCCTATTGCATCCTCCAGCCACTAAGATGCACTGTCTCTCACCCATAAGACAGGTTCCAGTTTCCTCTCACCTTCATGTTAGGATCCTATGCTATGTGGCGCCATGGCACCCTCTTGGTAACACACAATAAAATCTTGCACTTAGTGCATTTGGTTTTTTTGTTTTGTTTTGTTTTTTGTTTGTTTGTTTGTTTTCTTGAGACAGTGTCTCACTCTGTCGCTCAGGTTGGAGTGCAGTGGCGCGATCTCGGCACACTGCAACCTCCGCCTCCCAGGTTCAAGCGGTTCTCCTGCCTCAGCCTTCTGAATAGCTGGGACTACAGGCACATGCCACCACACCCGACTAATTTTTGTGTTTTTAATAGAGATGGGGTTTCACCATGTTGGCCAGGCTGGTCTTGAACTCCTCACCTCAGGTGATCCATCTGCCTCGGCCTCCCAAAGTGCTGGGATTACAGGCCTGAGCCACCGCGCCTGGCTAGCGCATTGTTGATCTACTCCTAAGATGCAAAGATCAGACAAAACTGCCTCAATTAGGTCATTATTTTCCTCAAGACATTTGGCAAGATATTTTGGGCAGAAGAGTGTCTTCATTGCCACTCATCTGTTATGGTCTCTCATGTTTATATCATGATAGAAAAGCCATCTCCTCCTATGCTGATAGAAGCCAAACTTAGGTTATTCTGAGAAAGTGGAACTTAGAGGCCAGAGGGGCCATGCAAGATTCCTACTCCTTTTCTGTCAATAAAAAGGCTTATTATGAATTCAATTTTTTTTTTTTTGCAATTAAAAGCAGACAAGCTAGGGATCCAGAATTTTGAGTTTAGCAGCCCAAACATACCTTCTCACTCAAAAACATATTCACCAAGGTTGCCAGGCAGCCAGCAGGATGTTGCAGATTTTACCATCTCATATCACAAATAGTCGATATTCCATTATGATGGTGTTCATTTTATTTTTGTTGCATTTGATAGCAAGAAACATGTTTAAGTATTTTGAACACACCGTTTACATATCTGAGATGAAACCGGAAGCCAGTTCATACGTATGACTTGAATGTGTGAGTCAATTCCCGAGGAAATGCTGGCATAAGAGAGTCAAATGGGAGTGGAACTACTATTATTTGAAATAATGACCCATTGGGGAGCCTTGCTGTGCTACAGTAATAAGATTTGACAGGTAGAAAAAAGAAGAGATCAGGACATAATAGAAAACCACAGCTAGAATACATTTACCACATTGTAAATTATTTCTTTTTCCACAAAGGTGGGGAGGGAGTATGAGGGGAGGAGGAGGAGGGAACACAGTGGCATTAAGGACAGAAAAGAAGAAAGTTAATTTTGCATTGTGCTGGTAATGGATTTCCAGCAATGCGATTTTACTGAAGCCTTATGCATCATCCTCCTGTAAAGGTCTACGGTGACCCTTGAACGTCATCCTATGAATTCGCCAAGAAAATTAAGACACTCCAGTAAAAGTACAGCCATGAAAGAAGACAGACTTCTAGATCCATGCCCAACTAGATCTGTTTGATAAATAGAACACAAGCTGGCAGAATTGGCCATCAGCCAACCTAAAAGAAGAAATCAAAAGCAAGGTCTGTTTGTTATTTTGTTACATTTGGGAAAGAATTCTGAAAGATGCAGAGGAATATCTGCTACTATTTGGCCCGGGACTAGCAGTTCAACCACACTCAGACACTCTGTCTCCAGTGCCAAGTGGTTCTGTTTCTCTAGAGAACCCTAACACACCCCCCCATTATTAAACAACCATCCAGTACTGTTTTATTGAGCAGTCAGAAGCAGACCAGCTTTATTCACATTCTGTTAACCCAATTTTTCCTTCCCTCCATAAACTGTTTGCTAGAGGCAGTCTTGCCAGTGCAGCTAAGCTGCCTGTGGCTGGTAAGGTCTCCTGGGCCCTCTACGCCCTTTCTCCTCCGCAGGTCGTGCCTCTATTGGAAGCATGCTTGTAATACCTAACATCCTCCTGGGGCCAGCCTGTGTTCTGCCAAAAGCACATGCAGGAAGCAATACCAGCTCTTAGAGTAATGTGGGCCACAGGGAATGAGCCATGAATGTTAAGATGTGTTTGAAGAAAAGTCAGTGTTCTTAATCTCAGGATGGTAGCCAGATCTAAGTACTGGTATGAGAAGAAAAAGAGAAACAGAGAGAGAGAAAGGGAGGGAGACAGGGAGAGAGGGAAAGAATGAGAGACAGGAAGAGAGAAGAGGAGAGCTAGGAGAAAGGGAGGGGGAGAAAGACTACCTTTACAAAGCAGGAAGGACATTGCAATCTTGGGGTTGCACTTGGCCATGAGTATGTGGAAGGCTGGTGGAAGTGAGATTGGAGGGGGGTCAGCTCCTTTTCACAGCGACTCTGCTGTAAGAATTCTACCTTCCCCTGAGAGGAGGAAGACCAATTTCTAACCATTTTAAACCCAAGCAATAGAAATGTAAAAAACAGGCACATACATGCGCTTGTACACACACACACACGAATGATTGTTAAACTGGTGACATCTGAATAAACTTTGTGGATTGTATCAGTGTCAATGTCCCAGTTTTGGTATTGTCCTCCATGTAAGATCTTACCATGGGGGATGATGGGGAAAGACATATGAGACCTCTCTGTATCTTTTTGCAACTTCCTGTGAAAATATAATTATTTCAAAATATAAAGCTAAAGAAAAACCTCAAGTAGAGCTAGAATATGGAAAATGGGACTAGCTGTGTAAGAGTTGGGCCCTCCTCTATGCCTCAAACTAACCAGCCAGCAACGCAGAGGCCACAGGGGGCGGAGCTACATCCATGGCCTCCAGGACTTAGGGACATACATCCAAGCTTTCCGGCTGCCTGAAGTCAAATCAAGGATTGGTCCAGTGGAGTGTACCCGGGCCCCCACCATCCTCTGCTGAGGAATTTCACTTCCAGAGTCTGTGTCATTGGATTTTGTCTTCTTCCTACTGATTCCAGTTGAAAGCCCACTGCTAGCTGTTAATAGAAGCCATTCTGACAAGGTTGTCCTCCCCTCGACAGCTGCCCAGGTCTAGCCCAGCCTAGGCCACTAATGGAGGGTGGAAGGCACAACAATACCTTTGGAGCTGATATTTGTTCAAACGCTGCTCACTCTAAACCTGGCTTGTTTATCCAACTCTATTTTACTCCATGAATGTCCAAGAAAACTTTTCTAGAAGAGATTTGATTGTTGCTGCCCTTTGTATGCAAAACAGATGCTGCTGGCTGCTCTCCTAGAGCTCTTCCTCACTTCTGGCAGGGTTCACATGCTGCTGGTTTGGAGAAGCCTGCCTTCGAGGGCCCACATGCCCGGGGGAGAGGGGAGCAGGGGCAGTTTGGGGTGTGCTGGATTCACCCACTATAATGCTGTCCTCCCTTGGGTGGAAGCCATAGAAGTCAACAGGACAGACAGCAAGGGAGTGCCACATAGAGGCCAAGGAAGAAATATTGAAAATGAACAGTCTTCTATTTCGTGATGAAGTTTTGACTTCTTTCCTCAGGTCATTTGCTGAAATACAGTGAAGTATCTGGAGGAAACACTTATCTCTGCCCTTGAATTCCCAGAACGCCAACTCTGATTAACTTTCCGATGTTATTGCTTCAGAAAGTCCAAAGTCAGATGATCCGTCTTACATGTATTAAAAGTTACTGAGGCAAGGGTCCAAGGGAAAGTCTCTCCGCTCTCAGCCTGTCCGTCACTGTTCATACTGTAGAAGGAGAACTACTTTAAAATGCAACCTACCATCTTTTATATTGGTAGGTGATTCTGAGGCATTTGCAGGATAGGTAAAGCCTGGAAATTGATACAGTGATTATTTAAAGCAGTGATCGCCACCAGGGGTGAGTTTATCCCTCATGGATACTTTGGTAAGGTCTAGAGATATTTTTGGTTTCACAACTAGAGGGTATGGGGATGCTACTGGCATCTGGTGGGTAGAGACCAGGGATGCTTCTAGACATCCTATGATGTGCAGAACAGCACCCACCACAAAGGATATCCAAAACAAAATGTCAATAGTGATGACATTGAGGAATCCTGCTTTAAGGTTCTCGGCAAATTTACTACAAATAACCACTACTATTCATCCAGCAAACAATCACTGGAGATTTAGTATGATATTAAGACATTATGTATAGCCCTGGCACTGGGGAGTTAGCTTTGCAGTATCTAGTGGAGGAATGACAGAGGTATACAAACAAATATAATGTAATATAAAACATGCAAAGTGCCTGAGTGGAAATGCAAATAAATACAGAGAAGGATATGAGTTTGAGAGGGTGGGGTTGGGGGAGGAGGAAGAACCAATGTCACTTTCCCCAAGAGGACCACAAACTGCATGTTTACACTCAAAGATATCACTCTTGCATATAAATTTGAAATAACTGCTAGGAAAGCTCACCAAACCCTTAAGCGCTTTTTAAGCAATCTGTCTTTCTGCTTTTATATACATATCCTCAGAGAGATGCAGCCTACAGCTTTCTTTGTGACTTTGTTCTTTATTGAGATTATTTTCCTAACAACAATGTGTTTCTAGTACCAAGAAAATGCTTTATTTCCTTCTCCCGCCCTTAGTTGATTCTTTCTATCTATACCTTTAAAATATTGATAAACATACAGTGTAATTCTATAGCTGCTAATCAACAACACAATACGTACTTAGCCTCTTTTATTTTGCCTGGATAGCAACTTAAATTTATCCACAATTTTGAGGATTCACCTTCCTAAGCATCTGTTCATTGGCTTCTGTCTTTTTCAATACTGAGTGCCAAGGATGTAGCAGGAACTATCGTCTCCAACCCCCTGCTCCTATTTTCCAGGCTGAAAGAAACCCTGGGACAGCACAGAGATACTTAGGAAGGAGTCCAATGAGCATAAGACAAAAGGGCTCTTTCCCACCCTTAGGAAAATTAGTGACTGGACCAAAGGGGTTTTGATCAAACAAAAGTGTACTTACGTTAGATTTGCAAGGCTGAAATTGCCTAGTGATCATTTCCATTGCAGATATCATAGACAATGATGCATCTTCCAGGTCAGCAATGTGGATGATAAAACTGTCTGGAACACTACATTGGCAAATGTGAGCTCATAGCTAAGCTGAAATGGAAATCAGTTATGAAACAGAACTACCAGATGCCATATGCCTGCACACAAAATATTCTGGGCAATCTTACAAATCAAATAAGTAACATATGTAGTTGAGGTTCTACTTTGTGAGTTTCACTGCACAATACCCGGGAGCAATTTGTTTGTTTGTTTGGTTTTAACTCTGGCTTTGAATCTTGACTCTGACACTTTCTAGTGTGGGGATCTAGATAAGTTAATACAACATCTCCGAGTCTATATTTTCGTAACAGTAAAATGAGGTAAATCATACCTATCTCTTCAGATTATTGTTTATTCTGCAGGTCTGGGTGCTGTCAGGAAAACGAAGACCATATCAGTTATTTTAACAGAGAGAATTTGATATAGGAAGTTGGTTAGAGAACCAGTTGCTGGAGAACCAAAAGAGCAAAGAAAGGACCCCTGAAGGCTGGGAGAGCAAAAGGCAGAGGTTGTGGGGATTAGAAACTGGATGCTTGACAGAAGGACCCTGTGGAGCTGAGACACAGGCTGCTAAGGAAAGGGTGACAGCTTCTGATGTGCTGTTACTGCAGTAGCTTAGGGCCCCGCAGAGCTGAGTCTCAGCTGAAGCTGGGAAGGTGCAAGAGAGCTGGAAACTGGAACCAACTGCCACTGCCAACATGATGGGCCATCACCAGTGACACTCCCAGCAAGTACTCACGAAGGAGCAAGTCCCTTCTTCGACTCCAGCCTCCATCTCTCTGCTACCTTGACTGGCAGACAGTGAAGGAGAAACATGATTACCGAGAGCCCAGTGAAAAAGCAGAGGAAAGAGGGCTGGATTTGGAGCTGAGAAACAGCCCCAATATATGGCCCATCCATTCACTCAACATGTACATTTATGGAGTGCTTACTGTGGATCAGACTGTGAGGCTGTGAGGCTCTCTGCTAGGTGTTGGGGAACCTAGAGAATTAAATGGAAAACACTCCTAAAGTACAAGGCTCAGCTATTAGTACAAGGTAAACCCTCTGTTAAAAATAGCTCTCCTATCTCCAGTCCAGTGGGAAACATAAAGGAAAAGGAAATGGAAAGCAAAACAAACAAAACAAAACAAGAAACCAGCTCTGGCCTTTAAGAAATCTCATGTTTAGATTCAGTGTTGCAGGATAAGCCACGTAGCAAAGTGCAGAGTGATACATGTTTGTACACTTTACCAAGAATGCCAGACATCGCTGTTTTAAGAGTTCAAGGAAGCAAGAGAATATATGGGGGCAGGGAAGCCTTCACAAAGAAGATGGGAATGAGCAAGACCTGAGGATTTAGATAATGGCCAAAAAGACTAAGACCATTGCAAATGGGAGAAAGCACACAAGCAAATCAAACATGGTGGGAATGTGCTGGTGTGTATGTTGCCACTCTGGCCTCAAGGAATGAAGGATGGATTTGTGATGTGGAGGATGGAAGTTGGAGCCAGTCGCTCATTTCTGGACTGTATTCTGAGGCATAGATAAGCCATTGGAGCTTTGTGAATGAGCAGAAGTTGTATGCAGAAAATATTATCTTTATAGCCCCTATCATATCTAACACAATACCTTGTACATAGTGGAATATTTGGAGGAGGAAGCATTACATTAAATGGGATGGGATGGGATGGGATGGGATGGGATGGGTTGGGATGGGATGGGATAAAATGGAATTAGAAAGGCAGGTCTTAACTTTGAAAATCTTTTTAGAAAATATTTTGAGCCTAAGTATTAATGTCTACTCAAGCTCTCCTAACTTTTGTATCTCCCTCTGTTTTGATAATAATAATAGATACTTTATTAAATCCGCTATGCAATCCATGAGCAATTTTAAGGCCAAACGTTCAGGAACTAAAAAAATTCAGGCAATGATAAACATTTTCTATGATAAAAACATTAACAAGTAAAGATATAACCCAACTAGCAAGACCCTGTTTATTCCATGGATGGAGGCCCCCTGTTGTCAGAGTGAACATGATGTTGGCTTTGAAGACACGGGGGGGAGCTGATGAAAATATCATGGGCTTATTTTAAAAAGTGTTGGGCAATATGCTTTTGAATAAATGTAGCAATTCATGTGAAAACAATATTGTTGCAAATTTTGAATATGTTTGCAAAATATACGATGTACTCGCAACTAATCTATTGTTTTCTTCTTCGTAGATCCATTACAAGATTTTGGCTTTTCTGTTGAAAAGTGTTCCAAGCAATTAAAATCAAATATCAACATTAGATTTGGAATTATTCTGAGTAAGTAAAAAAAATGATTAGCATGAAATAAAACATTGCACAGCCTCTTCCAACTCCACACACCCAATGACTTATGTTAACTGTAATGACTGGCTAAACTACTGTTCCCTCACCACTCTCTGGAATTAACTCTATTTATATCTTCATTTTCAAATCTTTCTCTGGGTTATATTCAGGTAGGGTAGAACTCTCACTTAAAGCTGTACTTTTGTATTAAAAAGACTCTAGGCACTCATTTGGATGATATAAGCACCTGGAATCAGTATACCCAGCAAAAAAAAAGGAAAATATTTTGAGATTAAGTATTAATGTCTACTCAGGATCTCCTAACTTTTTTAGTTATCTCAGCAACAAATAAATCTACTACCAGCGGTACGGTTTGTCATTTGTGTTATTTTGTATCCCAAATAGTTAATACAAATTCTTAAACTTTGACATCGGCAAGGAGGAGATGTAATATTTTCTCTCCTACCCCAATCAGTAAGCTAGAGCACTTTCTGATTGTTTAATTTTCATATGATCATGCAATTATAGTTGGTCAATATATTTTCTATAGCTACTAGACGACCTCCTTTTCCAAAGCAGTTATATCAAAATCAAAGTAGAGAGGTTTAATAAACTTAGCATGTGGAATCATTCCAGAGAAATGGAGGGAACATTCATAGAAATCAAGAACTCTCACGCATCTTTGTATTTCTAGAATCTTACACAGTATCTGGACTCTAGCAGCAGCTGGAGAAATGTTATGGGGAGAGAAAAAGCGAGAAAAGAGAAATAGAAGAGTGGGTGGAACATAAAAGGGAGGAATGGAGAAAAAGAGAGAATTGGAAGCCACCACCATGGAACCCGCTGCAGCTTCCTGTGCACCTGTGCTGCAATACCTCCCTGGCAACAGCAGCAGGTGTATGTAGGCGTGACCACACCCCACCGCCATCATGGGGAACAAATGATACTATGCAACTGAGAAATTCCAGAAGCCAGACCTGCAGACATCACATTAAAAGGCCATAGCATCAGGGTGGGGAGCTCAGCTGATTAACTACCTTGTTCCAAGCAGGTATTTTGAGAAACAGCCACCTTTCATACGCAGGGCCCCATCATAATCCCCTGTAGCATTGCCTAAATGCTGTTTTACCAAGGAAAGAAGAAAACTGTTCCCCACACAGAGAAGATTAATGGAAACAAAAGGTTCTTTAGCTCATGCTGCTGTATACTGTGAATGCCTCTGATACACAGTGAAACACGCAGTAAGAGTAAAGCTGTTCTTCTCTTTCCTCCAGGAGAGGACATCAAAGAGCTTTTTCTTGACCTAGCTCTCATGTCTCAAGGCTCATCTGTTTTGAATTTCTCCTATCCCATCTGTGAGGCGGCTCTGCCCAAGTTTTCTTTCTGTGGAAGAAGGAAAGGAGGTAAGCCATCTGTCTTGCTCACTGCTGGCAGGGGCCTGCAGAGAGATAAACTCGAACTTGCATCTGAGGCCAGGACGCCCAGACCAGAGCTCTGTCTCTGCCCCTCGCCTTTGGACGAGCTTATCCTCACTTATCAGCATGTGTTGCAGAAAAATAACAATAAGGCCCATTCCATAGGCCTACCTTACAGGGCTGTTGTGAATATCAAAATGAAATGACACGTATGAGATGCTTTAAAACAGAACATTGTTACTGTGAGTAGCAGCATCTTATAAAAAAGGGCTGGCAGCAGAAAGAGCCAAGAGGTTCCAAAAATCCATTGAGGTTCAGAGTGCTCCCAGGTTTTCCCTCCACAACTTCCTTAGTGGCAGGATGTCCTTAATATAGTAATGGACTTCAAAAACGAAAAAAAAAAATGAAGCTTATGATATGTCACCACCTTTCCCACGTGGGTCATTGACTAGCAGGGCATCCGGGAGTTACACTCGAAGTAGAGAAACGGAAACCCCATTATATTAGCTACCTTTTCGGCAGTGCACCAACCCTCTACCGCCTGCCATACAGCCTTGAAGAAAGGGCAGGTCACCTTCCCCCACCTGTCCCCACCTCTCCTTTCCTCCTTGTCTTTACCCACAGCTTCACCAAGGCCCTGAGATGCTTCCGCGGTGTGGTTAAAACCTGGCTCTATTCTCTGACTGTCCTTCCCCAGGAGTGGTTCTCTCCCAGCTGCTCTCCCCTCCCAGGGTCTCCTTCCTACTCCCACTGGCCAAGGCAGGGCATACCCCCAATACACCCCTCACCCCACATCTCAGAAATACTCCTTTATCTATTTTCTCATTCAAGAGAGCTAGAATTTTAAACAGTAAATTCCTTGTGAAATGCTGCAATTACTCCTTTTAAATGAAAGATCTAGAAGAAATTGGAATCTCCTTTCTACAGTGAGGGATGCAGACAAAAGAAAACAAGGAACTTAAGGGAGGATTGGCCAGATGGAAGTCGGGGGAACTTTGCTGGGATCTGTAGAGGGCAGAACCAGCCTGGCTGCCTCACCACCCTCGCCATCCCTCCCGAGTGTGTGGCACATCACTGTATCCTAGCGTTTGCCATGTTGGACTGTCCTGGTTTACTGCCGTGTATCTTCCACATTGGACCACGAGCTGCTTGAGGGTAGGGTCATATCACCTTTGTCTTTTTATTCCCAGTATTTCAAATGTGGCTGACACACAGAGAGCTCTGAATACAGACACACGCAGAGCAAAATGCCTAACACGATTGAGCATTCGTACCAGGCCCTGTTCTAAGAGCTTTAGACCCAATAAGTCATTTACTTCCCACACCAACCTTACAAGTTAATACTACATTAATATTCCAACTTCATAAATGTGTAACTGAAGCACAGAGGGGTTTAGGAACTTGCACCAAGTCACAGAGCTTGAAGGATCCATGGCTTGAACCCAGGCAGGCTGACTCCAATCTTAGCTTTAATGAATGAATGAATAAAAGAACAAACAATACAACAAATGAGTGTGTCTTGCTTTTGGCCAAGGGGTTTATTTAAAATTATCATTTCAGAAATCTTTCTGCCCAGTGATCTGACTTTGTTTCAAATTGGGACTTTTTTTTTTTTCTTAGCTAACCCACCTTAAAATCATAAGTCAGTTTTCCTCTCTCAACTTACTGGAGACATTTCTGATTAATCAAGTACGTTCATGCATTTCCTCAGAATGGTGAACTCATCATTAGTCCGTCCCTATTTAACTTTTTCCACCTGCCCTCAGCTGGGCCAACCCCGAGCTCCTCAACCACAGTCAGTCCTTTCTCCTTCCCTCCCTCCCTCCCTCCCCTTCCTCCTTCCCTCCCCTTCCTCCCTCCCTCCCCTTCTTCCTTCTCTCCCTTCTCTCCCCCATCCCTCCCTCCCTTCCTCCCTTCTTCAGCCACATCTTGCTCCACCCCCCTATACATACCTGCGGCATCAGCCTTAAGGGATCCTTTGCCACTTTCTCTTCAGAGCTGCATTTTAACATGTGCAACATTATTTGGATGGTCCCCTTAGCATGTGTGGCCCACTTGCTATTTGCTTTTCATCCAGACCTAGCTCAAGTATCCCTTTCTCTCTCTGTCTCTCTGTCTGTCTCTCTCTCTGTCTCTCTCTGAAGCTTCCTCTAGCCCCAACAGATGAAGTGCTCCCTCTGGGTGCTCTGGGAGCATCGTGTTCCTACTTCTGCTGTAGTGCTTATCTCAGATGGAATTGAATTTTACGGTTAGTGTGTGTCCCTCCCAATTAAACTTTAAACTCCTTGAAGGAAGGCATATTTCTTGCTCCTATCTGTCTCTGCTGACATGGCAAAGAGACCTGGCACAAAGTAAAGACACAATAGATACTTGTTTTATTGCATTTGCCTGTGAACATATGATGGATTGAACACAGTTTTACCAGTTCACCTTAAAAATGACTACTTAAGGCTGCTTATGCATGGCACAAAGACACAACATGCATCAAATCCTAGCAGAGAGTACATTTTCCTGGTCCTTCAAGTATAAGAAAACCTTGCTATTTTTGCCTGCGTATGGTTTTAATAGGATTGATAAAACAGAAGAGAGATGGTTCCCTAAATCAGTTTGAGGTATTCAATTCAGTTTAGCAGCTCAAAAGGCTGACATTTGCCTTATTTGAAGGTTGGACAGCTCTGCAGCTATTTATCTGCTTTATTGCAATGGGAGTGATGACTGCATAGGCAAGCTGAGAAGCTGGCATTGGGGAAATTGCCAGAAAACTTCATATAGTGTAAAATATCATATAGTGTAAAATGATCAGAAAAGTGATATACAAATGCTGCATGAACAAATAATTATGTAAACTATGTAAGTCAGAGAAACTAAAATCTTAAAGTCAGAGGCTTTTTGGATAATTAAATTGTTTTAACCCACCCACAAACCTACTGCAGGAATGATTCTATTCCAAAGAAATGGTTAATAGTAAGACCAGAAGGGGAAAAAAGAACACCAGGGAGAACTAAAGTCAATCCAAATCCAAGCACAAGCTGCTGTTGACATGTTACACATAAAAAGGCTTGCTCTGGGGCTTGCAGGTCCTTCTTAGCAGAGCGGTGAGAAAACTTAATGTCCACTGTGGGTGGCACATTGTGGTGTCACTGGCAGTTGAGCTGTTTGGTATCATTGCCATGGCATTACTATGCATTCCTCTGCAAACTGCATCTCGCTGGCTTTTCTCCAAGCCAAATAAAACACAAAATGGGTCAGGCTTAGTGAGACTGAAATGTTGCCTCCTTTCCCTCTGCCTTGTCCTCAGCTAGCTTTAAGGCAAGCATCACATTGGATTCAAAGACCAGCTGATGCTCTTTCAGTATGATTACTTATGCTGTGATTGACAATGTGGAGGAAATAGCGTATATGGCCAACGATAGGGCATTGACTAAGTAGGTCATTATTCAGCCAAACAAAGGTACAGTATGCTGTGATTTTAAAATGATGCCGTAGATTACTAAATTACATGAAAATATACTTGTAAGAATATTATGTGACAAAGAAGCATGCTATAAAAGTGTAGTCACTGTTGAATCCTATTGTATAAAATGTGTGTAAGTGTATACACAAAAAAACTCTGAAAGAGTACACACTTTAGTGCTAAGAGTACTTATCTCTGCAGATCTTTATTTTTGTCTTTTTTGGAAATCTCGCTTGCTTTTATGATAAATTTGCAAGGTTACTCTTTTAAGTGTTACTTTATCATTACAGGAAAGAATAGAGAGAATAAATTCTCTTCCCCTGGGAATAAATTTAAGAGTTTTCAAAGAGAATTACAGCCTATGTAATATCCAGCGATATTTGGACTCGAATAGAAAGTTCTGAATCAAAGAGTTGCGTAGAATATCAAGGGATGATCTAACAGCCATCCTCTTGCCTGGGATACCCACAGCCCCATTTACTCAGGCTGTGGGCTCACTGAGAAGGAGACAACATTGGCCACTGTTTTACTTTCTTCTCTGTTAAAGCTGCCTTGGTCCTTCTGTCTCCTCTGATAGTATCGAGTCATTCAGATGTATTTGCTTTAGTTGATTGCCATGCTTTCAAACAGGTTCCATAAGCTACACATCCACTTTTAAGACTAAATTGAGCTTCATTGAATGTCCTTAATGACCACAACTAATTCCTAGCCCAAAGGAGGGAAGCTGCAGCCAACTCCCTCAATCCTCAAGAACAACAATGCCGATAGAACCCCTGTGTGATCCGGGAGCTTTGGTCTGGTCTGCAAACACCAAGCGCGCCGTTACCCCAGTGGGTCTCCATCTTGGTCGCACATTAACTGCTCCTGTGCTTTCTGAAGCAATGACCACAAGCCACAGGTCGCGACTGAGCCCTGAAATGTAGCCAGTCTGAATAGAGATGTGCTGTAAGTGTAAAGTACAGACTCAGTTTCAAAGCTTTAGTCTTAGAAAAAGAATGTAAAATATCTCTATCATTGTTCCACTGGTTATGTGTTGAAATGTTAATATTTGGAATATACTGAGTTAAGTAGAATTTATCATTAATATATTATTTTAATCATTTATCAATGATAAGATATTAATATTATATTAAAATTAATTTCAACTTTTAAAATGTGGCTCCTAGAAAACATAAAATTATATGTGTGACTCTCTTTAATGTTTTTACTGGCAGCGCTGCATTATTATCTCCCTTTATAATTTTGAAGCTCCCAACATCCAGGCCATACCCCAGACCAATGATATCAGAATCTCTAGGAGTGAGAGCCAAGCCAGGTGGTGACCAGAAGTGCTCTGTGTTGAGAATATGGGAGGAAAAAACTGTTTTTTCCTACATACACCCTCATCTTATCAGATGAGGAAATTGAGTCTAACTTACCCAAGGTCACAAAGCCAGCGGGGGGTGGAACTGGGTTTCTGTCCAGCTCCAAACCCCTCTGCTGTATATCTTCTGTAAACATAAAGAAAGCTTTGCTAGAGAAGAAGTAAACTCATTTCAGCCCTCCACTAAGACCGGAAAAAGATTTAAAGGGCATAACAAAATTATAGAAATCAAAGGATCATCTTTGGGCATAACCAGCCATTATTATAAGGCAGTGGTTCTCAAAGTGTGGTCCTCAGACCAGCAACATCAGCATCATCTAGGAAATTATTAGAAATGGCAGATTCTTGGTCCCTACCCAGACGTACTGAATCAGAAGCTCTGGGGTTGGGGCTTAGTGATCTGTATTTTAACAAGCCTTTTGGGCCATGTGTTGGCAAACTTTCTTCTGGAAAGGGAAGGATAGTAAACATTTTAGGTTTTGCAGACCATATGGTCTCTGTGGCAATTGCTCAACCCTTCCCTTGCAGAGATAATATGAAAATGAGTGGACATGGCTGTGTGCCCAGATTACATGAAGTGAGGTATGTCTATATCTGCTGCATGTATTTTATAATTGATTTGGCTTTGTTTAATTTATGGACACTGAAATTTAAATTTCATTTAATTCTTACATGTGGTGAAGTATTATTCTTCTTTTGACTGATCAGTCCTGCTCTAAGTGGTTCTGTGGCATGTTAACTTTTGTGAACCACTGCTAGAAGGTAAGTCAGAATCCAGGGCTCTTAGCCAGAGTTACTGAGCACAGGTATGCGGGGGCTGTCACCAGGTGGACACTTGACCTGAGCTGCAGCATAAATTCAGATCCAGGACACCAAGGACAATGCCACACCTGTGCTTTGACTCTGCTTTATAAGACCTGTGCCAAAAAATTAGATTTGGGGCAAAAGGGACTTAACAGATAGGCTGGTCAGAGTGGCAGCTGGCAGGAGGAAGAGCACCTTAGGAAAAAGCCAGAGAGCAGGCCTGGAGGTCTCCTTCCCTCCCCACAGCTGCCATGGACAGTCTGGAGGGCCATTACATTTCTCTATTTCTCAATTACTGCATCTATCAAATGAGAGTGGCCATAATTCATTATTGGGTAAGAGTGGAGACTAAATAAGATATGTGATGTGTCTGACGCGTTAGAAATCACAGCACTGAGTCCCTGGGCTTCCTCCCCTACCCGAGGGACCTTGAGGCAGAGGGTTGGAGCATTTTGTGAAAACTGCAGGGCTGATTGATAAACTCTGGTGGGTCTGTCATAGAAACAGGCCAGAGGACTCAAACTGGTTCACCATAGAGCCAGAGGAGCAGCCAGTCCATAACATCTCACACTGCCAACCTGCTCAGGATCCCAGAATTTCCTGACCAGTAACTGAACAAGTCTTTCATGGCTATGTTGTTCTGTTCTGTTTTGTCTTCTTCCTTTGATCTAAGGTCAGCCTCTAAAATTTTTATTTTCTACCACTGGCTTGACTTCCATCCAGAATGCATAATCTTAGGAATGTCTACTCCCTTCAAGGGAACCTGACATCTATCAAAGTGTGATCTGTCACCCTAGCCCACAATAGTCTGACATAAAGACTTTTCCCAAAGTCTGGGTTTGTCAGCACTCACCAGCACCACACATGAGACACCCACAGCCCTGTCTAGCTTGGAATGGAGTCAAGTTCACTCCAGTCTCTTTCAGTCTCTGATTTATCAAGCGTTCAACACATGTTGATGTCCACTCTCAATGAGGTTCATTTTGTTCAAGCAGTTTCCTAGAATATTCCACGTCAGGAAGATGAAAGTGAAATAAGTTAAATAGAGCCAAAATTTGGTTGTAAGATGTACTGTGGAGCCTGAAACTCAGGTATCACCCTGGGAAGTAGAAGCAACACTTCATTCTTGCTCCACAAGCTCTACCCAATTAAAAAGTGGAGAGAAATGACTTAAAGGTGGCTCATGTTTGGACTGTCAAGAATATATTGTGTAGGGCCGTGGAGACGTGAGGTTCTCAACTGGAAGTGAACCTGGCGATTTGGGTAGAGACTCAGATTAAAGCCATAAAGTAAATAGAATGAACACATGATTTTCTTTCTTTTTAAAAATTGTTTTATATTATTTCCAACTTCTATTTTAAGTTCAGGGGTACATGTGCAGGATGTGCAGGTTTGTTACATAGTTAAACGTGTGCCATGGTGAATAACTGCACAGATCATCCCATGATGATCTGTGATACCATCCCATGATAACACCTAAGTATTAAGCCCAACGTCTATTAGCTATTTTTCCGATGCTCTCCCTCCTCCCATCCCCCACCCTCCAACAGACCCCAGTGTGTGTTGTTTGCCCCAATGTGTCCAAGGAACACATGATTTTCACACTTGATAATAAGAGACATGTCAACTATCAAACCTGGTTCTGGCCAAATTTCTATGAGTTCTGACCAGGGTAGATCAACCCAGGCAAAGTGGCCTTGGTTCCATAACACCAAGTGAGTAATACTCTTTCAAAAATAATTTGTGTATTGATTCACAGACTGACTTGCAGATATCAATTGTACACAACCTACTGCCAAAATCAACTGAAATTAAAGGCTTAAGCGAGTTAAATAAATTGTGTGTGTGTGTGCATGTGTGTATACACTGAGTGTATATGATTATGAATTAGAGTATCTGTAGGTCAAGGAATCTTCTTTGAGACCTTGAAAGCTGCGATTGATGTAATTCAACCAATGAAAACCTGAGAGGACTTAATTATGCCTTATTCATGTCAGGATCCGAGAGAGGTGCAGAAGATAATGGTGCCCACAAGAACTGCTGATTCATGGCGCATCCATGCCTGCACAAGCCACTTCTCAGTATGAGCAAAATCCATTATGAAACACATTCAACAGATACACATACCTCCCTGTGTGCAAATGCAAGCTAGAGAAAATAATTAGGTTTAAACTTGATTTTAAATGCATTAATATTTAAAGCTTGCAATTAAAAGAAATATGATGACACCTTTTGCAATCTGAAGAATCCTCTAGTTGAGAAAATAACTGGTCCCTGGTTTATCTTTTGTGTAAATCTGAACTTTCCTACTGTTTGACCGAAGTGAGAAATACATTATAATGAGATGAATTTCAATATAAAACAGAGTAGATCCCCTGAGAACTGTATTTAAAGTCTGGCATAATATTGCCCATAAGGCAGATATTTTTGTGACAGCATCCAAGAGATTCTGTTGTAATGCTCACTGATTTTATACATACAAATAAGTCAAAGGTGTAACCACGGTGGGTGCTTGTGGTTACCCATCTTCCCTTCCTTTTCATTACGTTTCTTAATTAGATGTTTCTCTTCTGGTCCTGGTTCATGCTGAACACTAGGACCTGTGATCCTCCCAGTATCATTCATTGCAGAGCCTTCTCAATCTCACTGTCTGCATCAATTCAAAATTCTGTCTTAACAATAATATCTAGATCAGCAGTCAGATCCCATCAGTTAGATTTCTATGGCCTCCTCTATTTCTGTTTCAATGTGCTCCTTTCCACAGATCTAGGAAATGAAGGGAATTTGGGGGGAGTGCTGGGAATGCAATCTGTTTACTGCCTAGATTTGGAAAAAATCCACAAATGCTTTCTGCAAAATGCCTTACCCTCTGCGCTGCTGGAGTAGAAGACAGGGCTAAACCACCTTCCCAGCAGGTGCTACTTGAAGAAATTAATCTATGCTGATGACCTGACAACCTCTCTAAAGCATGCTCCCAGCCATGGCCCCACTACCATGGGCTTCATGATTCAGTTGTTTCATGTTCACTGCACATACATTAACAAATGCAAGCCCAGGAATTCAGGCATTGATTTAGGCTATAACAGAAGGGGAATAAGCAGCTTAACAGAAGCCTAAATTTAAAAATACAGTAGTCTCCTCTTACCTGATAGGGACATGTTCCAAGACCCCCAGTGCATGCCTAAAGCCATGAATAGTAACAAATTTTATATTTACTATTTTCCCCATATATACATATACCTATGATAAAATTCAATTTATAAATTAGCCATAGTTAGAAATTAACAATAACAACTAATAAAATAGAACAATTATAACAATTTACTGTAATAAAAATATGTGAGTATGGTCCCTCTTTCTCTTCCTCTCTGCCTTTCTCTCTCACTCTCTCTCTCCCTTTCTCTCTCTCTCTCAAAATACCGTAACATTTTCAGGCCACAGTTGACCACAGGTAATTGAGACTGCAGAAAGTGAAACTGCAGATAAGGGGGACTATTGTCTACTGTACATGTTTTCTAGGGTATCACCTATGTTATACTTGTTTGCTCACCTTTGATTTCTGGGCCATTTTAGACTTCCTGCTCCTTCAAAAGCTGCAGGCTTTCCATCCCCGCACTTCATTCCCAACCTTCCCCAATCCTAGCTTCTGGTCCTGCCCTTCAACTGCTGCCAGTATCCCCAGTGACAAAGTGGCTGAGATGGGAACTCATGTGCCTTGGCTCCTCTTCTCGTGGATGGATCTATAGAGCCATGGAGGGAGTGCTAGCTTTCTGTGACCTGGAAAATTGCACTATTTCACCTGCCATTATTATCCCCACTGTCATTTTGTAGCTGCAGGCAGCATGTTACCAAAACCAATATTATTATGGAAGCATTTCCTGTCCCCTGACTCATCAGACTGCAGTGCTGCCGCTGGAGAGCAGAGACCTTAGCCCAGTCCAGTGGTTCTCAACCTTGAGCAGGCATCAGCATCACCCGGAGCCCAGGTTCAACCACAGTTGCTGGACCTAGCCCCAGGGTTTCCAGTTTCGTACATCAGGTGGGGAGTCTGAGAATTTGCATTTCTTACAAGTCCCCCAGTGAGGCTGATGATGCTGGCCCAGGGACCACACTTTGAGAACCTCTAGCCTGGTGGTTATGCACAAGATTTGAAGCCAGACCTACATAGAGCTGAATCTTTACTGCCACTTACCATTTATGTGAACTCAGACAAGTAACTTAATCTCTCTGAGCCTCAGTTTCGTCATCTGTACAATATAGAAAATACAAGTGACCTCATGGGATAGTCATAAGGATAAAATGGGATAATACACATATAGCCCATAGAATGGCGTTCTGCACACAGCAAGCATTCAATAAGTGATCCATGGCAGCAACTTTGTGCAGCTGATGACAGGTTTCTCAAGCAAGGGCCCTGAGCCCCTCAAGTCATCATCTGTCTCAGACTGGAAGTCTGCATTTTAACAAGGCCCATGAAGAGGCAGTGGAGTCATTGAGGCTTAGAAGTTTAAGACCTTTTCCTTACAGGTAGCAGGAAGATGCCTTTGGTCTAAGCCTGCATATTTTCTGATGGTTGAACAAGGCGAAGTTTCCC
The DNA here is from genome assembly GCF_000001405.40 of Homo sapiens. Classification (NCBI taxonomy): domain Eukaryota; kingdom Metazoa; phylum Chordata; class Mammalia; order Primates; family Hominidae; genus Homo; species Homo sapiens. The sequence continues at coordinate 6,636,649 of NC_000006.12, forward strand.
TGGCCCTCTTGTCCCTGTGGGGAGAGAGTGTCATTTGCATCTCTCATGGAATTGGAAATTTGAAGCACCATCATCTCCCCTTCATTCCTTTCTTCCTTTCATGTATTATTCCTTGTCTCCAGACTTCAATGGTAGATTTCCTGCTTGTAAATACCAGGCAGCTGCTGCTGCAGCAAATTCATGCAGAATCACCAAAAACAATGGTTTACTTATTGCATTAGCCGAACTCCTACCCTCGAACTGCAAAAAAAAAAAAAACAGAACTAAAAGCAGTAGCCACCCTCTAGAGGGTACAAGCAATGACTAAGCAAAAGAGTACTTTTTCTTGCTAAATGGAATGAAAGGAAGCATATTGGTTTTTTTTTTTTTTTTTTTTTAATGAGAAGGAGTCTCGCTCTGTCGCCCAGGCTGGAGTGCAGTGTGATGTGATCTCGGCTCACTGCAAGCTCCGCCTCCCAGGTTCATGCCATTCTCCTGCCTTAGCCTCCCGAGGAGCTGGGACTAGAGGCGCCCGCCATCACGCTCGGCTAATTTTTGTATTTTTAGTAGAGACAGGGTTTCACCTTGTTAGCCAGGATGGTCTCAATCTCCTGACCTCGTGATCAGCCCACCTCGGCCTCCCAAAGTGCTGGGATTACAGGCGTGAGCCACCGCACCTGGCCACATACTGTTTTTTAAGGAATTCTAGAGCCCTGGGTGCTTTCTCCCCATCCTCAAATGCAAGCATGTTTGTAAATGAGCCAACCATGCTGCAACTGTACTTTGACATCAGTCAATTCTTTATGTTCCTTGAGCCCAGCATACTATGACTAAGGATGACCTAGGACCAGAAATACTTTTAATTTTCTAAGACAAACTTCTTTACAAATCCTTGACCGTTATGGAATTTCATAAATCCAGCTCAGTGACATACTTTGATGTAATAATCGTTTAGGAAGCTAATTAAGATGGCCAACTCACGACTCCCCCACATCACCCACTTGGATCCCAGAGCTGCTGGTATTTGCATTTTAAGAAACTAAACATCCCGAGAGCCCTGAGTGTGTGAGCCCGGAGCCCCCCAGTGTGAGAAACGCAGCCCTCTGTGATGTCTGTTTGTTTAGCTTTCCAGTCGCATTACTCTTTCCCAGGGTTGCCCAGGTTTCTGAGGATCAAGTCAATTTCTTCTCTTTGCTTCCATCATCATCTACTTCATTTCCATTTCTAGGAATCTAATCAGCCCACCAATTTATAAGTCGTATTTTGAATGTCGTATGAAGTATTTGTCCACAAAATTTAGGAACTGGTTGGTAGGTGGAACAAAAAAACTTAAATTCTTTTTGTTTTGCTGCTGGAAGTTAGGTATCTCTCAGAGGGGGAAGCTGGACAGCAGACAAACAGGGCTTGCAGACAGAATGCCACTGAAAAAGTCATTTTCCCTGCTAGGCCCCGCTTCCTCAGCAACGACTAAATAGTCGGCACCATCCAGACAGTAGCTACTGGCCCCTGCAGCCATTAAGTACTAGGAGCATGGCCAGTCCAAAGTGAAATGTACAGAATACACACCGGATTTTGAAGACTTAGTACAAAGTATGAAAAAAATAATGTAAATATCTCATTAAGACTCTTTATATTGGTTCCATGCTGAAATGGTAATATTTTTAATAAGTGGGTTAAACAAAATATATTACTAAATTAATTTCACTTATTTCCTCTTCCTTTTTTTGTATAGTTACTAGAAAGTTTTATGTCGCATATATGGTTCACATTATATTTCTCTTAGCCAGTGCTGATCTAGAATTGCACTGTCCAATATGACAGCCACAAGTCACATGTGGCTATTTGAAGAATTTACATTTAAGTTAAATTAAAAATTCAGTGCACCAGTCCTACCAGCCATATTTCAAGCTCCTAATAGCCACACATGCCTGGTGACTACTGTATTTGATGGCGTAGACACAGAACATTCCCATTTTTGTGGAATGTTCTATTGCACAGATCTGACCTAGTAGTATCTATACTGCTCTATTTTTTTTTATTATTATTATACTTTAAGTTTTAGGGTACATGTGCACAATGTGCAGGCTAGTTACATATGTATACGTGTGCCATGCTGGTGTGCTGCACCCATTAACTCGTCATTTAGCATTAGTTATATCTCCTAATGCTATCCCTCCCCCCTCCCCCCACCCCACAACAGTCCCCAGAGTGTGATGTTCCCCTTCCTGTGTCCATGTGTTCTCATTGTTCAATTCCCACCTATGAATGAGAACATGCGCCCAGCCATCCCATTACTGGGTATATACCCAAAGGACTATAAATCATGCTGCTATAAAGACACATGCACACGTATGTTTATTGCGGCACTATTCACAATAGCAAAGACTTGGAACCAACCCACATGTCCAACAATGATAGACTGGATTAAGAAAATGTGGCACATATACACCATGGAATACTATGCAGCCATAAAAAATGATGAGTTCATGTCCTTTGTAGGGACAGGGATGAAACTGGAAATCATCATTCTCAGCTCTAAAGTATTTTTAACAGTCCATCCTGAGTTCGTTTGTGAGTTTATGTTAGAAATTCTACTCTCTGGCCCAGCCCTAAACCCAAGCACTTTCTCTTCTGCTCAAATCCTAGGTTACATCCGTGTCATGGTTCTGAAGGGCCCTTTGTGGTGAGCACAAATACAAACAAGCCACAAGCCTTGTCCCTTCTCAGGCTCATCACCTGGTCCCTCCTTTCTTAATCCAAGGCCGCTGTATTAGCTTTCTATAGCTGCTGTAACAAATCACCATAAACGTAGCCATTGACAACACCATCAATTGATTCTCTTACAGTCTGGATATCAGAAAGCTAGCATCAAAGTATCATAGAATTGTGTTTCTTCTGGAGGCCCAGGGAAAGCCGGCTTTCTCGCCTTTTTCAGTTTCTAGAGGCTGCTGCGTTCCTCGGCCCGTAGTGGCATCACTCTACTTTCTGCTTCCATCTCCACCTGGCCTTCTCCTTCTGATCTCCTACCTCCCTCTTATAAGGACCTCTGTGATTACATTGGACCCCCCTGGGCCACACAGGGTAATCTACCCATCTCAAAATCCTTAATTCAGTCACATCTGCAGAGTTCCTGTTGCCATATAAGGTAACATATTCACAGTTTCTGGGGATTATGATTTGGACCACTTTTGGGGGGTCCTGCACAACCCCCAAGTGGAAAACCAGCATGCCTTGCTGAACTCTGTGTGCCATGTGAAAAGGCCCAAAACTGTGTATAATACGGGAAAAACTCAAACTCCATAGGTTTTCAATTAAAATGCTTTCATAGAAGTCCAACAACTCTGAGAACTTCACAGATAATGCGCTTGCTCACAAATCTGAGGCAAGAGATGAGTCTTTCTGTTAGGAGATTGTATCATTGCTCCCAAGGGCTTCCCTTATTGGGCCATTATTGTCACTCTTCCCCCATAAAACCACCACCTGCATGCCCTCTAACCAGAGGAGAAATGATTTGGCTAGGAGTCAATGACAGCCCATGTGCTGTGCCCATTCTTGGCAAAGAAAGATGGTAAGATGGCAAGGAGTCCTTCATCATGTTTGTCATGGAGAGAAAACCAGCTTCTATTAGGAATAAAAAGTGTAGGGAGAGGCCGGGTGCAGTGTCTCACACCTGTAATCCCAGCACTTTGGGAGGCCGAGGGGCACAGATTGCTTGAGCTTAAGAATTCCAGACCAGCCTGGGCAACATAGAGAAACCCCATCTCTGGAAAAAAATAAAAATAAAAAAAAAAGGCAGGAGGGGGCAGGGATAGCTGGGTGCAGTGGCTATGCCTCTCATCCCAGCAGCTACAGAGGCTGCGGCAGGGAGGATTTCTTGAAGCTGGGAGTTTGAGACCAGACTGGGCAACATAGGAAGACCCCCATCTCTAAAAAATTTTTAAAAATTAGCTGGGCATGGTGGTGTAGTCCTGGCTACTTGGGAGGCTGAGGCAGGAGGATCACTTGAGCCCAGGAATTTAAGGCTGTGGTGAGCTATGATCACACCATTGCACTGCAGCCCTGGGCAACAGAGTGAGATTTCTCTCTAAAAACAAAACAAAACAAAAAAAAAAGAAAAAGAAAAGGAGGGTAGAGATGAGTATATCTCTGAATCATTGCAGAGGCCTAAGGAGAGGACCATGAGTGAAGAAACCCAGGAAAAATTCTAATTTTATAAATGATTCATTACAAGTACACAGTGAATGTTTTCAAGTTGTAAATAACATTAAATTTCTCTAGGTAGTGAAAGGCCGTAAAATAAAATCTCACATGCCTCGTCAAACGGACAGGGAGAGATATCAAAGTAGAGTTAGCTGGAAGCAAAACTAAGATAACTTATGTATAGAAAAAGTCATCCAAACTCACATTATACAGTTATGAGTTCTCAAGTACACTTGTGATTCCAAAAACACCTCAGCAACTATTCCCAGAACACGCTGACCCTTCACACAGCCAATGGGGTGAGACCAAATATGCTGGACATCCCCAAGTAACATTTAGAAATAAAGTTGAGCAAGTTCTAATTGTGGAGCAACAGAAATAATCCTCCAACAAACGGCCATTTGACTTGCCAAAGAGTCCCAAAGTTTTCAAATCCACTTTATTAGAGTTAACTTGATTTATTATAGGTTATTCTACTTATGCACTATTGGACACTTGTGCGCTATTCAGGGACAGTAACTCTCCATCCAACTGAATGAAGAAAACAAAGACAGAGTTCACCGTGCCCCCCTCCTGCTTCCTCCAGTCCCTCTTTTCTAAAACTCACAGGCTTCCTCGCATACCCTCTTCCTCCCCTTGGAGCACAGCTGTGATCTTCACCTCTTGTCCCTGTCACTCAGCTCCTGTCTTCTCCCAGAGTGTGAGATTCAGAGAATTCAAAGAGATAATCCAGGGCATGAAAATTCTCATTCCTGGTCTTTGGCATAAAAGTCAAGGAACAGGTTCCAGGGCATTCGGGTACCATTTCTGAACTAGGTGGTTCCATCACAAGAAACAGGTGCAAACGTACCAGCAGCCAGGTGGCTAGGGCCACCACTAGCTCATCCATGGTCTTGGTATACATTAGAAAAAGGGGCACCTTCTGCCAGGAAGTGTTTCTAGTTTGGGGTACCCCCAAGTAAAGCCAGGTTCAAGGACTTGGGGGTGGGTTGTACACTGGGCTGGGGTGCCAGGAAGCCAGGGTGATGGGGAAAGCCAGTAAGAGATGCATCAGGGAGCTGATTACCAGCACAGGGAGCTAGGGCTCCATCCCTCAGCAACCCCTGGGGAACCGCAGCGTGTGCCTCAGAATTGTCCTTCTCAGGGTCAGGAGGCTTCAGGAGTTCACATCCCTGCACTTCCCAGTTGCCCTTCACGGGCTTCTCTGAAGCAGGAAAGCATGCAGAGGGGCAGCCCCTTGACATGGAGTAATGTCAGAGGCCCTGCTGATGCCCACTCCAGCAGCCGGGATTCCACCAGGGGCTGAGAGGATGTGGCCCCGACCCCTAAAAGCATATGCTGCTGGGATTCAGCCCAGTCCTTGGCTACAGGCCCTGACCCAGTAGGGCACAGCTGGATTTCTGATCCCACTTAACCCTGAGCCAGGCACATTCTGTGCAACTGTATGGGGAGAACTGGAAGAACCCCCTCTGAAATGGAGCAGCCAAGCCTGCAGCACTGAGAGTCCCGGGAGGACCCCTCCAGGGGAGACACAAAGGACTCAGAGGCTCAGAGGATAAGAGTTGAATGGCCCGGGAGCTTGAGGAGATGCCAAATTAGGACACACTGAAAAATAATACTAAAAAGTTACAATTAGGCCTGGCTTAGCTTGGAGCTTACCTACCCACACTGCCTGGAATCCATGGAAACCTGAAGAAACCTCCAGCCTTTAAGGCCCACTGGGATCTAGCTACCGTGACATTCGCCCTGAAGGCAGTGGACATTCTTATCAGTCCCTACTCCAAGGCAAGTTTGTTATTACCTTAAATGAGAGCCCTAACTTACCAGCTCCAAGTCTTAAGGGAACAGTAAGGACTACATCCTCGAGGGTCAGAAACTGAAGAAAGCAAAGCTTCAGATCAGAGGGGATGGGATGAGAAGCAGTGCCTGGGCCTTCCCCATCTTCCAGATCTGGTTCTCTCGGGAAATACCCAGAGGTAAGGAGAGGAATAAAGACTGTATCCAGAGCTCACTAGAACGAAGCCATGCACTCCCTCCCTCCTCCTCCTCCGGAGACGATGCTCTTGGTTGGTCTGGAACATCCTTCCCACCTTCCTCTTCGTCCTCTGGCCCCTCACCTTGGTCCTCCATTCACCAGATGTCATCACAGACTCTGAGCTTCCTCCCACTTTGCTCTTGGCCTCACCTGGAGGGGAGAGTGAGGGCTGCATCCTCCCAGGTTGACACTGCCTCCCTGCATGCAGGTATCCCTTCCAGATACTGATTTCATCTCCTTTGGATATATAAATACCTAGAAGTGGGATTGCTGAATCATATGGAAGTTCTATTTTTAATTTTTTGAGGAATCTCCACACTGTTTTCCACAGTGTCTGTACTAATTTACATTCCCACCGACAGTGGGAATTTCTCACAGAATTAGTCACAGTAGCCAAGATGTAAAAACAACAGCGACAGATGAATGGATAAAGACAATTTGGTCTATACACACAATGGAATATGATTCAGCCTTAAAAAAGAAAGAAATTCTGCCATTTGCAACAACGTGGACAAACCTGGAGGACCTTATGCTAAATGAAATAAGGCAGACAAACATTGCATGATCTCACTTACAGGTGGAATCCAAAAATAAAAGTCAAACTCATAGTAAGAGTAGATGAGTGGTTGGCAGGGTCTAGGGAGCATGGGAAAGGAAGAGATGGTGGTCAAAGGGTGCAAACTTGCAGTTAGAGGATGAGTAAGTTCTGGAGACCTAACGTACAGCACAGTGACTACTGTTGATCACAGTGTATTGTGCGTTGCTAACGGAGTAGCTCTCCAGTGTTCTCACTACACACAAACACACATGCACGCACACAAGCATGCATACACACAAAAACGCACATACATTCACACACAAATGCATGCATGCACACGAACACACACGTGCAGGCACACATGTGCACACAAACACACACACACGAAAGGTGACTATGTGAGGATATGCTAACCACGTTATACAACTTAAATATATACAATTTTTATTTGTCAATCATTTCTCAATATAACTGGGGCAAAAAAGAACACTGCCTCCCCTCTACCCTGCCCTACTGGGCCCAGCAGGTGGGAAAGGGACTCAAAATGCTAGGTAAATGAATGAATGATTTTTTAAACAAAAATATTTGTTCTGGATATGCCAATTGGCCTAGGCATCATAATTATAACTCTTGAGCATTTTTATACTGTTAAGCACCCTAAAAATGCTTCAGCATTAATGTACATTTTATAATAAATTTGGGAAATCGGCAGGAATTCCAGCAAGATCCTAGCAAGGGCTAGGAAATGGGGAGAGGGTTGCCTAAAAGAGTTCATGCAGTCAGCAGGCTGCATCTGCGCTGGTTATTGAGAACAAAAAGAGGCAGACCAGGACACAGGACCAGCCGGGTGCAGTGGTTCAGGCCTGTAATCCTAGCACTTTGGGAGGCCAAGGTGGGTGAATCACTTGAGCTCAGGAGTTGGAGACCAGCCTGGACAACATGGTGAAACTCCATCTCTACAAAAAACTAGGCGTGTATGGTGGCACGCACTTGTAGTCTCAGCTACTCAGGAGGCTGAGGTGGGAAGATGGGAGGATCACCTGAACCTGGAAGATGGAGGTTGCAATGAACCGAGATTGCACAACCTGGGTGACAGAGCCAGACCCTGTTTCAAAAAAAAAAAGGAAGACACAGGCCCTCGTATCAAGTTGATGTCACCCAAAACCCTTGGGACCTTTTATTTCCACAATTTAAAAACCAATTTTCTTTTCAAAAAGACACTCAGTGACAATCACCCAAAGATCTGGGTCAAAAAAAAAAAGCTGATATTCAGAAATGACTTCAAGTGTTCAGAACCAGGGAGGTGAATTTCTTTAATCCACTGCACATTAAAAACTGATAAAGATTGCACATGAAAGGAACGGAAGAAATGGGTGCAAATATACTGGGGCTCTTTTTATAGTCCTGGAGTGTGAGAATGTTAATTAAAGGAATCTCAGAATTGGAGAGGATCTGAGAAAGGATGGAGTGAAAATTTAATTTTAGGTGTTGTTTTATCAGGTTAAAAAAAAAGACAATTTCATGAGTTACTTGCAGTTACCTCAAGAACTTCATGAGCCCCCAAAAAAGCTCCAATTGAAACTGTAAACTGTAAGAGACCAATTTAATGAAAACCTCTCAGCCCAGTGAAGGACCTCTTAATGGTGAAGAACACAAATGAGCAAACCCCGGGAGCATTAAATAAGCATAACAAAATGTTAGGTATCATTAGAGTGTTGTTCTTCAAAGAGTCATACTCATCCATTTTTTAAAACGAAAGTTTAAAAAAAAGGCACAGACAGAACTTAGAAGTTACATACACTGGCTCAAGCAAGAAGCTCCAAAACCTAGTCTCATTGCGTATTTCAGCATCCACCAAGTGAATGTCCATTCTGTTACTGTTTTTCACACCTGGGTAAATAATAATATAGTTAATAACTAATTGCCATTTCTACCCTTCCTGGGGACCACATTCTGCTCAGCGGCTTTACACACAAGTTCTCCAGTCCTCTCAGTGCTCTATGGGGAGGCATTGCTATTTCGATTTGCAAGCACAAAAGCTGAGTTGCAGGATGGCTGAGCAAATTGCCCAACATCACTTAGCTAGTGAGTCAGAGAGCTGGGTCTCAAACCCAAGTCTGTCTCCTTCCTAGGTCAAGGAAGGAAGGAAGGAGGCTGTGCCACCCTACAGCAATTTGTAGAATTTGTAGAATATACCTGCACAATTTGTAGAATATACCTGCATAAAGCAGGTATAAACATGCCCAAGGGAACCCAGCCAGATCAGACAGGGATGGCACACCAGTCCTTGTTCTTGGATTCTGCTCCTGAGCCACACTGTGTCCAAACCCTGATAGCCAGCAGGAGTGCTCTTGGCTTGTTCATGCCCGTAGCAGCCACATCCTGAGTTGCAAGCAGAAGACACCCAATCCAGCCAACAAAAGCAAAGGGAATTTCTTGAAAGGACATTTAGGAGTCACAGAATTGGCAAGAAAGCTGGAACACCAGGCAGAAAGTGGGCAGCTCTAGAGACTGATGAGTTCTGCTTCTCTTGCCAGAACAGATTGGGAAGGGGTCTCTTTGTCTCTCTGCTCTGATTGTCTTGGCTTGGGTCAGAGAGTATCTACTGGGAAAAAGATAACTTCCAAAAACGAAATCATGTTCCAGTAGCTGAACCACTGCAGTGCATATCTGTTAGGGGCACCATTAGCATAGATTGCAATGCAAGGGGTGCATCCTCAGGCTGGGCAAAGCACCAGCATGACAAATGAACCCCGGGCAGGATGTCCCTCTGAACCCTCTATATGTAACCACATATTAGTTACAGTGCCTACATGTACTGCTCAGACAGGTTAAGTAACTTGCCCAATTAATAGAAAAAAGAGCTCAGATTCAAGCCCAGATAGTCTGACCCCTGGACGTGTGCTCTTAGCCACGATGCTTCGAATACACAAAGTTTGCAGTGCTGGGGGATCACAGGGGAGGCAGTAATCACTGAGGGGCTGGGCAAGGCATCATCCTTCTTGCTGACTTCAATACTGATGTGGATGGCCCACCAAGCACCATGATGTCTCAGTTCTTTCACCCCCTTACTTCCAACAACCATTTCCATCTTTACACCTCAACCACCATCTCTTATGTCAACCCTGGATATCTTACAGCCTGTAAAAATGCACCCTTTCTGAAATCTAAATGCCAAGCCCTCTGCCATGTGGCTTCCTCATATCCTGCCAGCTCACCAATTCTAGCACCTTGACTGCAATAATAGAAACTCCATTCAACTCACTTCCCCACTGTTACAATCAACAATTCCCTCCTGCCTTCACTTTCTTCCTTACTCGCCATAGATTCTACGGTATATTATTATAATCTTTTCCTTATGTCTAACCCAACAGCCTTCACTTTCTCTTCTTTTCATTCTTATCCAGTGAAACTCCAACCCAACCATTGACCTTCAGTAGCATCAGAGCTGCTGAATGTCTCTAAGAAAATATACATCTGGGCTAACTGGAGTATCTTTAAATTTATGGCCACAAACCTCAAAAAAAAGCACTCAACACTGCCTAGAAATCTTACTGTATTTCTCAAGTAGATTTCTTCCCCACTGTCCATGAATATTGTATTCCTCCTTTTGCTACTCAACACAACACAGGCACTCGCCATCTAGTGCCCCCTACCTGTCTGTGACCTTCACTGCAAAAATGAAAGTAATCAGTCAGGAGCCCCACTATTGGTTTACTGGCCCATCTACAAACGTATCTACACCTGAACTCATTCTGCTCTGTTTTCTCTCCTACAATTGTGGGAGTAATATTCATGCTTCTCTCAAATGCAGGAGGGAGTGTTAATAGCCTTCCTTTCCACCTTCTTAAACCCTTCATGTCTTCAGTTATTCCCTCTTCTGCATCTTCAATCTCTCTTTCTACAAGATTATTCCCTTGGAACAACAAATATGGTACAGTATCTCCCATCTCGAACAAAGAAACAAGCCATTCTTAATACCACACTCTCCTTCAGTTATCTTTTTTTTTCTTTTGCTCCCTCTTATAACAAAACTCTTAATTCCTCACCTCCTTATCTCTCTTCAGTCCACCCCATTCAGGCATCTGTACTCATCTCTCCAGTGTTCTTGTCAAGGTCACCAAATGACCTCCATGTTGCCAAATCCACTGCACAGTTCTGTTCTCATCTTACTCAGACTCTCAGCAGCAGCATTCAGCATGGCTGGCAATACCCTCCTGTTTGAAAAACATTCACCTCCTGGCTTCCTTGATCCCTCAGTCTCTGACTACCATCCACTCCACTGACCGTCTCTTCTTAGTCTCCTTGGTTGGCTTCTCCTCAACCCAACCTCTGAATGTTGGAGGGCCTCAGGAGGTCCTGTCCTCTCCTCTGTTGATTAATTCTATCTCCTTTGGGTGAGGGAGGCATCTCATCCTGTCCCATGGCTTAATCACCACATGTTAATAACTCTGATATTCATAGCTCCATTCTTACCTTTTCCCTAAAATTCCAGACTTGTATAGCCAACTGCTTCCAAGGATTCTTATTAACCATCTCCCAGAAATAGAGCTCTTCAATCATCACATACACACACACACACACACACACACACACACACACACACACACACTTCCTCATCAGGCTTCCCTAATCTCAATAAATGGCACCCCCATCTATCCAGATGCTCAAACCAAAATCTTCCTGGCCCCCACTCTCTATACCCACTCATCAGTGGGTGCTATCACCCAACACAGCTGTGATCTCATTCGTGTTCTCTACCTCCACCACCACCACCCTTCACCAATCCATCATTTACCTTGGCCACAGAAGAGCCTTCACACTTGGCCTCTCCTCTGCATTCTCTACACAGCAGAATGTCTCTGCAAAACATAAATTAGCTATTTTGACATGACTTTTAACACATTTCCACTGCCTCTGGAATGAAATCTGAACTCCCTACCATTTCCTGCAGGTCCTGAAATATCTGTCACCCCTCAATCTTTCCAAGCTCTTCTCAACACAGTTCCTCTTGTTCACTGTGCTTCAGCAGACTCATCTCCCTCTATCCTCCTAATTTCCTAAACTCTTTTCCACATCAAGGCCTCTGTCCTTATTTTGTTATTCTGAGATGATCTTCCCCCAGCTATTTAAATGCTTGGCCCATTCTGCTCCTTCAGGACTTGGCTCAAATGCTACCTCCTTACAGACGCCTCCATGACCTGCCACCCTGTGGAACATGGTGCCTCCCAGTTCCTGGCATTAGCAAGTATTCATGGAGTGCTTCCCAGGCATTGTTATTAGTGCTGTTTATTGATTACCTCTTTTAATTCCCCACCACCCTAGGAAGTAGTTACTGTTATTGTCATTATCTTACCCATCTTGGAAAAAAGAAAAAAACAAGGAAACTGAGCCCAAAGAGATAACAACTGTCCACAGTCAACTAATCTTGGGACTTAACCCTGAGTAACCTGGATCCAGCCTGGCCCCTCCCCCACCACACCCTCCTGCCTCTCTCATATTACTTGGTGTCTCTTTCCAGCACTTGTTACAATCTGGATATCGTCTTGTTTAGTTATTTCTGAATCATCATTCTCCTCAGTAGAATATGCATTAGTTCATTTTCATACCACTATGAAGAAACACCCAAGACTGGGTAATTTATAAAGAAAAAGAGGTTTAACAGACTCACAGTTCCAGAGGGCTGGGGAGGCCTCACAATCATAGTGGAAGACAAAGGAGGAGCAAAGGCACATCTTATACGGTGGCAGGCAAGAGGGCGTGTGCAGGGGAACTGCCCTTTATAAAACCATCAGATCTCATGCGACTTATTCACTATCGTGAGAACATCACAGGTAAAATCCACCCCCATGATTCAGTTACCTCCCACTGGGTCCCTCCCATGACATGCAGGAATTATGGAAACTACAATTCAAGATGAGATTTGAGTGGGGACATAGCCAGACCTTAACAGAATGTAAGCAATGTGTGGACAGAGACTTCTTTTTTTCATCCAAGGATCCCCAGGGCCTGCCACATGGAAGGTGCCCGACCAATATTTGTGGCATGAATGAATAAGTGAATGAATGGTAGGTGTAGATCAGGAAATGAAAACATTTCTAGCAATAGCTGCTCTTATTTTGGTGCCAATAATTGTCACACATCTGTGTAACCACAAATCATGTGAATGAATCATTTTTTTAAATGATTGAATAACATCATCTATGCTTTATATATTTTTTCAGAGCAGATTTACTATGCTGGGCCTGTCAATAATCCTGAATTTACTATTCCTCAGGTAAGATATTACTTACTTCTTGTATTAAATAGTTTGTTTCTTGAAGAAGAAGAAGAAGGCTAGAAGGAGGGAAAGGAGGAGAAACCAAGAAAGAAGAGAAGGAAAGAATTAAACAGTTTAAAACTTATCCATAGGCCATCCCTGCAAAAACCCTTTCTTAATAAAACTGCTGCTTCAGAGTGGGCACTTGAAATTTCTTGACACACTGGCTTTGTCATTTTGGCATTTAATATTTTACATGTCAGTGAACCTTAGGGAATCCTCCGAGTACAAACCTCCCACTGAGAGGGATGCCGGCGTCTTGTCCAGCAGGATTACGGCATTTGTGGGGTTCCATATGGCAGTGCTGCTGGGCTGTGTGGGCGGCACCATGCATGTGCTGGGACCGAGCTCAGGAGGCTGGCGGTTCAGAGAAAGGAAGATGCACAAGCCATGAAGGCATGAAGGTCCTCCAGTTACTGTCCTTTCATTGTTACTCATAAGCTGCCACTAAGTCAATAAAATGCCCACATCCTTAGCATTTGCTGGCAAAGCTCACAGCTAAGAGTAGAATTTTCCACTAATTCCTTTCTGTTCAAGATAATGTGACATTATTAAATGACTCAATTTACATCACTCTGCTATAAGCAATAAATGTTCAATATGCTACCCCTCAGATAATGGTTTTTTTTTTTTTTGAGAGAGTCTTGTTCTGCCTCCCAGGCTGGAGTGCAGGGGCATGATCTCAGCTCACTGCAACCTCTGCCTCCCAGGTTCAAGCTATTCTTCCGCCTCAGCCTCCCAAGTAGCTTGGACTACAGGCACATGCCACCACGCCCAGCTAATTTTTGGATTTTTAGTAGAAACAGGGTTTCACCATATTGGCCAGGTTGGTCTCGAACTCCTGACCTCGTGATCCACCCGCCTCGGCCTCCCAAAGTGCTGGGATTACAGGCCCCTCAGAGAATCTTATGGAACAATATGAAAAGGATCACAAAAATGTGATTTTTTAAAATGCATGCTGATGTATTCAGTACATGTGAGATTTGGTTATGTGTATGTAATATGTAGTGATCAAGTCAGGGTATTTAGGATGTCCATCACTGAATACATTTTTCTTAACTATAGTCACCCTACTCTGCTATCAAACACTGAATTTATGTCTTCTATTAACTGTGTGTTTGTACCCTTCAACCCACTTCTCTTTATACTCTCCCTCTCATCCTCTCCCTCCCCACTCTGGTATCTATCTTTCCACTCTCTATCTCCATGTGATCATGTTTTTTAGCTCCCACAGATAATTGAGAATAAACAATATTTGTATTTGTGCCTGGCTTATTTCACTTAAGATAATGACCCCCAGTTCCATCCATGTTGCCACAAATGACAAGATTTTATTCTTTTTTATGGCCATATAGTATTCCATTGTGTATATATACCACATCTTCTTTATCCATTCATCCATACATAGACACTTAGGTTGATTCCATGTCTTTGCTGTAGTGAATAGTGCTGCAATAAGCATGGGGGTGCAATTACAAAAATGTAATCACTTTAAATAGTTTTGTTTACAACCTCATCCTTTCAGTTCTCCAAAACCTGTATTTGGCTGAAGAAAAAGGTCTCTTTCTCCATAAAGAATCTCTAACTTAGTTTCACCTCTGGGTTTGTTTCCTTTCTTTCCCAGCCTCTGTGTTCCTATGTCAGAGTGCCATCTTGCTACCATCTCAGATTCCCACTATCATTGCTCTTGCAGCTGGGAAGTCTCCAGCCCTCTCCCTCTGGAAATCTCTAGTTTCCTCCTCAGGCCTTTCAGTAAAATACAAAAGTTTTGCAAGAAAGAAAAACTACACCTGTCTTCACTTCTAGTATGAGGGCCCTAAACTCTCCCAGAGAGTTCCATTTTTCTTTAAATCTTTGCTATTTGAATTGTTTTTCTTTCCCCATTGTTCTTCTGACCCTCCTCCCAACTAGAGGCTGACTTAAAATTTACTAACAATTGACTTTCACTTTTGCATTGTTGGCTTCTTTTTAAACCAGTTACTCAGCAACTGTTATAAGATAGAGGGGAAAAGAACTTCTTAAAGTCAGAAAACCCCTTTGAAAGTAAGTTGAGAGGCCAGGCACAGTGCCTCATGCCTGTAACCCCAGCACTTTCGGAGGCCGAGGCAGACAGATCACTTGAGGTTGGAAGTTCAAGACCAGCCTGGCTAACATGGTGAAACCCCATCTCTACTAAAAATACAAAAATTAACCAGTCATGGTGGTGCACGCCTGTAATCGCAGCCACTCGGGAGGCTGAGGCATGAGAATCGCTTGACCCCAGGAGGCGGAGGTTGCAGTGAGCCGAGATCACACCACTGCACTCCAGCCTGTGCAACAGAGGAAGACTCCATCTCAAAAAAAAAAAAAAAAAAAAAAAAAAGGAAAAAGGTTGACCAGATAAGTAAAAAGCTTTATTTTAATCACCTACAGTGCATGAAGGAAGTGCAGAACGTAAGTTCTTCAACCGCTGATGGTACTCAAGCAAATATTGCCCAGTGTGAGGGCATCGCATGTACAGCAGAGAGAGCTGGAGGCCTTAATCCCAAAATGGGCTCCCTACACCGGCTGCAGGTCAGCCGTGGCTGGCCCGCAATGCACGGAGGCTTTGCTTTCTTAATATGGAACAGACACAGTTCAAAGACTTTTGGTTGTAAAAGACGTACCCCATATCCCCTCCTCCAGCTAAATCCTCCAGAGATGGGCTCTGGGCTAATGGCAGTTCCCATGTGGCCAAAAACGCTCCCACTCAGCGATCATTCTCCAGGGTCTTGGTATTATTTCCCTCTGAACTCATCCAACCCCTTGGCCCGGATTGAAGCCCTACCTGCTGTCCTCTGTCTATGCCTCCTGCTTTCTGAATGAAAATTTAGGGGATCCTTTGGGCTCCCGAAGCATGTGGACAACAACTTGTAGGCACAGCCTGACCCATGTATTGCCAAAGGTGCACCTACAAATTCCTAACTTACAAACTCTGTGCCCTCCTCAACAGCAGAAACGCTGCACTCAGTCCTTCCCTACCCTGGCCTCCTGGCCTCCCAGCACACACCTCCATCTGCCTCCAGCCTGGCACGCTTGCCTAAATATTCTTATCTCTTATACCAGAGTCTGTGATATCTGTAATTCATAATCTAGAACCCCTTCCTTCAAATACAACAGCTCCTCTTAGGTTCATAATGTAGTAATGAAAAATTCTTGTGTTGTTCAATACATTTGTAGGTGTGTGTCTAAATGCACATAGAGATTTTAAAGAAAAGTACATGAGGAGGAAGAGAACGATGAAACACAACGAGATATAAATTTGAGCCGGTCTTTACTCATAATTAATTCTCTAACATTTGGACTGCTTTGGTTATATTCCTAACACTATTTCTAAAATTACAGCTGCTCAATATTTGAGGAGTGTGACTCATGGGAGCGTCTAGAATCATGGAATCACACCCAAGGCACCATCCAGAGCACAGCCTGGTTCTCTTGAATACAATTTCAGTGTTGGGGACTCCACTCTCTTTGGAAGCTCTGCTCATTGCTAGAAAGTTGCTCCCTTCTAACAAAAGCCACCTTTCATGCAGCTTCTCTCCGGTGGTCTCACCTACTCCTTCCCTCTTGCTTTATACAGATTAAACTCTTTCCTCCTTTGGGTGACAGGCAGTTCAAAGATGTGCCAGCAGTCTCCTGGCCTCCTCTGCCACAGTCCCTCTGCTCCGCTTGCGACCCTCCAACCACCCCAGAGCATTTTCCTCTCCAGATTCGTGTCTACAAACACATCACCGCTCCGTGGCTGCTGGGGTGCAGGACTGGGGTGCTGGCAGCAAACAAAACCAGAATGGCTCTTCTACAGTCCTCATAGGACCTGGCTGCCAGGTGGCTTCTGCCAAGCTGACTGCAAAGGAAGGGAGACCTCCTTACAGTGTTGCTGCCAGCAAGGATCCCCAAAGGCAGCCATTCTTTCTGTGATGGTGCATTTTGGTTTTGTGCTGGTGAACTGTGCTCCCCGGGGTCTTCTCTGTCTGAGCATACAAACCTTTCTCCTTCCAGTTGCTCAGGCCAGGAGCCTTGGAGTCACCTTTAACCCATTTCTTTCTCTCCCACCCACTTGCGTTTCCTCAGCGGATCCTATTGGCTGTTCTTTCAAAATCTCTCTGGCACCCAAAGCCTTCCCCCACCTCCACCTCTACTCCAAGTCATCTTCATCTCTCACCTGGATTCCTGCAATCGCCTCCCATCTGGGCTTTTCAGTGAGGCAGCCAGAGGGATCTTACCGACACAGGCGCCAGGGCAGGCCACCCTCTCCTGACCAGAGTCCCTTTCAGAGTGGAAGCTGATGTCCCCACCATGGCCTTTGAGGCCCTAAGAGTCTGGCCTCCTGTGTTGCCCTTACCTCACCCCCCCCATCCCCCCACTCCCTGCAGCCCCACTGGCCTCCTTCTGCCCCTCTAAGGTGGGGGCCCCAGCCCATAGCAGCACTGCACCTTCTTGCATCTGCTTCAGGTCTTTGCCTAAATGTCGTCGTCTCAGCAGGGCCTCCTTTCACCACCCTGCTCAAAATTGCAGACCAGCACTTGCCTTGACCCATCCAGTGCTTCCATCCACTCCCTTCCTGCATGAGTTTTCTCCATGACATGAGCACCTGACACACCATACATAGTCACATATCATAAGGGTGGTCTGTCTCTCCCAGAGATGCTGTCAGCTCCACAGGGCAGGGGTTGGCTTGTCTTGTTCTACGTTATCCACAATGTCCAGAACAGCACCCAGCACATAAAAGTTTCTCTGTAAATATTTGTTAAATGGTTAATTGTACTGTGGGTCACACGTCTAATACTTGACCTGTGCCCCTTGCAGGGAGAATACCAGGTTTTGCTGGAACTGTACACTGAAAAACGGTCCACCGTGGCCTGTGCCAATGCTACTATCATGTGCTCCTGACTGTGGCCTGTAGCAAAAATCACAGCCAGCTGCATCTCGTGGGACCTCCAAGCTCCTCTGACTGAACCTACTGTGGGAGGAGAAGCAGCTGATGACAGAGAGAGGCTCTACAAAGAAGCGCCCCCAAAGAGTGCAGCTGCTAATTTTAGTCCCAGGACCAGACATCCCCAGACTCCACAGATGTAATGAAGTCCCCGAATGTATCTGTTTCTAAGGAGCCTCTTGGCAGTCCTTAAGCAGTCTTGAGGGTCCATCCTTTTTCTCTAATTGGTCGCCTCCCACCAGACTCACCTGCTTTTCAACTTTTTAGGAGTGCTTCCTCACAGTTACCAAGAATAAAGAAAGCTGGCCACCATTGTTCATTGTGGTTTGTTCAAAGAATCTTACTACAATGCTGTAGTTAAAAAGTCATTTCCTCCAGATACAGTGCCGGATGCTGGTGCAGCATAAGCAGTTCCAAGAAATTCAGGAGGGTGACAGCCTGGCTAAAATTAGAACACTGGGAAAATGTGCCATTGCTTCTCCTGGGCAGGCCCCCACCCTTGGACCATGAGGGCCGAGAAGCTGATGCAACCTCACGAATAGGGACATCATACTCTCGCTTATCCAAACATTCATTTCACCTTCATCCCTCAAAGCATGATTACACTTGACCTCAGCATATGCTGGCGTTCATTACTGCATTCATTAATGAATGCAAGGAATAACTCCTGAACACTTAATGTGTATCAGGTGCTGTGTTCTTAAGTTGTCTTCTACGATGCTCTCCGTAAATGAGCATGTTGCCCATGCTACTTCCAGAGCCATTTCTGCGGCCCCGTCTTCTCTCCTGGGATGCACTGATCGCATGGTGGGCTGCATAGCCCCTTCACCATCCGACGCCCCTGTCCTTCCAGTGTCCCTGCTGGCCCTCTTGCTCCTGCTAAGGGGCTGGAGTAAGGTGGGTGAGTTGACACTATCATTCATAAAAATGCCACTATATTAGAGATTAAAAGAGAAAAAAATTCCATAGTTTAAAAAACAGTAGTTGCTATTAATCACTGTTTATACATCAGTAAACCACCTAGAATAGCAGGTCAAAAATGCCTGTCAAACTTTAAAACCAGCATCTGAGGTTTTCTGGGTTATGAGCAGGCAAAATTGCAGCAGCGTCCTTGCCTAGGCCCATAATGCTCGAGGGAAAAGACGTGCGTGGTCATACTAGGCTCAGGAGCAAACCTCTGAACGTACATGGGGGTGACGGTGTTACGCACAAGAATAGCAAATGATTCCTGCCCCTGGCCATTCCCTCTAGCTTGAGACATTCACCTCTCTCCCTTTTCAGTAACCATCACCACAAGTAGTAAAGTCCCTGGCTAGACTCTGTGTACGCACATGTTCTAACAGTACAAGACAGCTGTCACAGCCTTCCAAAGACACAGGTGGAACTCAGCCAGTCCCTTCCCAATCCCTTTGCCCTCTTCTTTAAATTGACTGTGTGGGTGCGTGTGCGTGAGAGAGAGAGGGAGGGAGAGAGAAAGTTTCAGATGCTATAGGTTTGTGTTAAACTGGAATTTCCATATATGGAGACTATCCTAGTCATAGCTGAATATACAAGTACACAGCCGTTTCACTAAGGACATGATTTGAGAGAAAAAAAAATGTTTCTTTGTCCCAGAATATGTCTTTTCTTAGTGTCCTGTCATGGGCCTTAAATTTCACCATTAGTTTTATTCCAGCAAGTTGAAAACATATTTCAATGTTCAGGAGTCTCCTCTTGGAATACGAACAGCCCTGCTAGGAGAAACGCTAGAGTCTGTCATTATTTAACACTCTGGCAGGATGTAGTAACTAAGATGACTTTGAAAGGGCCAGCCCAGGAAGCAGGGTTGTCAGGGGAGGTGGGTGACCCCAAGCCGAGCCCTCTCAGGCTAGCCATTGTGTGGTTACTGGCTGGGGTGGGGTCAAAGTGCCCAGACAATCTATCAAACTAAATTGACTTCTCCTGTAAAGAGAATTGCTACTGTTTCAAAAATCACTATCAACAACTCCAAAAATGTGTCCTCAATAAACTCTTCTGAAGAAAAAAAAAAAAAAAACAGCTTGGTTCAGGATGATGCAGTGCTGCCACAATTAAGGAATTATTATGAAAATCAGCCAGCTTCAGACATTGGAGTGCCCACCAGCCCTTCTTTATATTTTGAGGGCAATTTCCATCGTTACGTATAGAACGTTTTAAAAAATATTTTTGAGGAACATTCCAGTGCCCAAGGGAAGCTTTGTCAGGCTAGAGTCTAGGCAGAATGCTGATAAAGCCCCTCAGGACAGTGTGATCGCATCTCTTAGAACGTTTTGGCTATGAGGAACAGAGAACTCAATTGAATCTGGCTTATGCATAGGGGACTAGGTTGTCTCCCATGACTACTGAGTCCCAGGGTGGTTTAGGTGTCAGCCAGCGTTTGCTGCTGAGGTTCATTCATCATCGGCTCTTCACCTCCATTTCTCCACAGTTCTTCCACCTCGGGTCTCCTGGAATATTGCCTTTACCCTCAGACAGTCTGTCCCACAATAGCAAATCATTTCAGTAGCTGGAGACCTCACATCCACACTGTCCACAGTACAGAAGGCAAAAGAGACCTTTATCCCAAAACCCTGTTACTCATTCTGATTAGAATGGCTTGGGTCACATGACCTCTCCTTGTAACCACAGCAGACCAATCTGGCTCAACTCTTATATGATAAAGTTGTGAGTTGTTTTTCGGTTGCCGTGGACTCCAGGTTGAAGGTTATGTAACCCGAGCATGCCCAGATGAACCAAGTATGCGACCACAGGGGGACCTCAGTGCAAGACTGAGGAGTGGGAACTTAATTAAGAAGTGAACACGGCATGTCAGGATCCAGGATCCAATCATATCAGTTTCCAGCATCACCCCATGACGGGATCCAATCAGATCATGCCTCCCAGCATCACCTCATTGCAAGATCCAATCAGATCATGCCTCCCAGCATCACCTCATTGCAAGATCCAATCAGATCATGCCTCCCAGCATCACCTCATTGCAAGATCCAATCAGATTATGCCTCCCAGCATCACCTCATTGCAAAATCCAATCAGATCATGCCTCATGACCCCATGCTTATAAAACCTGTCCTAAACTCCAACTTGCAGAGACAGGTTGGAGTGTTTCCTCCTGTCTCCTTGCTGGTAGACTTGCAGTAAACCTTTTCTTTTCTTAAAAGCCAGTGCAGTGGGATTGGCCACAATGCACATTAGGCAGTGAGCCCATTGCTGGCTCAGTAACATCCTGACCAATCACTTTGACCCTACCCTGATTGGCTTAGCCTATGTCACATGCCCCACCCCTAGACCTGGATCAGAGTTATTCCCACTGGAACCACACATATCCTTAAGTGGAAACTGGGGAAGTTGCCAAGGGGTAAAGGGAGAGGAAGGGCATGTTTCAAACTAGGCCAAAGGACATGTCCAGATCATGTCTCGAATTAGGCCAGTTTTAAGTTCTAATTCTCTCCTAGCTGTTCACTGGGCAAGTGACTTTTATTGTCTAAGCCCCAGTTTCCTCATCTGTAGGTGCTGACCATAATAATAGTACCTATCTTGTAGAGACAGTGTGAGAATTAATGAGAAAATGCATGTAAAATGCTGAGAATAGGGCCTGGCACGTCACTCAATAAAAATAAGTCATTATTATGTTAAGGTGGGTGTTCACTTGCAGTGCTAAAGCCTCTTTTCCTAATTTACCTCTCCCATCCTCCTACATCATCAGAGCAAACAATCCTAGAAGCCCAGCCCTCACCCATAAGCCCACATTCCCTTCTGGGTCCTGAGATGGTCCCTTGGCATCTTGATTTCTTCTAAGTGTAGCTAGTTTTATTAGACCTGGCATGGGGGCATGTTCCCTGGGCCATGAACTCTGAAAAGAATTTAAGGAAAACATTTGGATACACCTTTCTGGCCCCCAAACAGAAACAATATAACCAGGCCAAAAGGGCCTATGAAAGAAAATGTGGGCCAGGTGTGGTGGTTCACTCCTGTAATCCCAGCACTTTGGGAGGCCGAGGTGGGCGGATCACTTGAGGTCAGGAGTTCGAGACCAGCCTGGCCAACGTGGTAAAACCCCGTCTCTACTAAAAATACAAAAATCAGCCTGGCGTGGTGGCACATGCCTGTAATCCCAGCTACTCAGGGGGCTGAGGCAGGGGAATCACTTGAACCCGGGAGGCAGGCAGAGGTTGCAGTGAGCGGAGATCATGCCATTGCACTCCAGCCTGGGTGACAGAGCAAGACTCTGTCTCAAAAAAAAAAAAAAAAAAGAAAATACGTGTATTTTTTTAATTAAACTTGTTTCCTGCACACAAAGACACACACCCAATGCCTGCATAACTAAATGTGACATCTGCAAATGTAACAATTACGTCTGCCTTCAGGAAAGATAATCCAAAATAGCTAGCACGAGAACAGAAAGGGCCACATCCTGATGACAACCCAGACTCGTTAGAATGGCGGAGTTTATTATCTCAACAGTTCAACTGCAGGTTTGAATTGGCCGTATTTTTCTCAATCAGCAAAACAAGTTAGTCTACCTAATTTTCCAATCATTTTATCAGGCAAGCAGGGGTCCTATAGGGCTTATAAAAGAGTTATTTTCATCTAGTTTGTAAATGTCTTCAGTTACTTAGTGTGGAACGGAAGCCTTCAGCTGCATTCAAATGCTCTGGCCTGAAATATTCTTCTCCCCTTGCGCCCAGCTTTCTTTTCACATGTGACACAAAACCACCTCCTTTCCTCCAGTGGTTTGGTCTCCTCACTTCTGTGGAAAAGGGTATGTATCAATGTTCCTTTAGCCAAAAACAATGATACCTTCTGCCAGCTGGTATTTTTCTGGATTTCCCTGAAACCCACCCAAGGGTGGAAAAACAGAAAATATCCCTGCCACCGAAGACTTTATCATATCATTTCTTTCCTTTTCTTCACTCAGAAGTGGTAGAAGAAAATTCAAGAAAGAGCCAGAGAACATCATTGACATAATCAAGGGGATGCAATAAGGTTTCCACATAAACTACAAAGATTAATATATGTGAGTGCAGAAAGATAACATCTGAGAAGGCAGAACAACCACCATGATAATAATAATTGTGTAAAAGCTAACAACGATTTGTGCAGGCTCTCTGCGCCAGCATTGTGCTCGGCCTGCATCTCAATACTTCATCTCCAGAACAGCCTGTGGGTGCGTAACACAATGGTCCACGTGATAGAAGAGGAAGTCTGGGTTTAGAGAAATTGAGGAACTGGCCTAAGGTTCCCCAGGCTTGTGAGCTCCATCAGTGAGCCAGGATTCAATTCTGTCTCACTCCAAATCCAGGCTCTTTCTACCTAATGTTGCTTGGCTGTTTGGAAAGACACCATATAATAAAGAAACACTTCATGGTTTTAGTTGCAGGCTTGCAGAATGTGTTAACTCAAGCAGCAAATGAGCTAAAAACAAAGGTAGGCTAATGACAGTTACATTAACTCAATGATGACAGCACAGAACAAAAAGGGATCATGAATACTAGTCAGTTTCATGATTTGTTCATGCTCTTCCACAAAAGCTTTTGGTCACTCACTGTCAAACCCACCTGGGTGAATGTGCCATAAGCATAATCTGGCTTTTTCACTGTTTTCTTCTTTCCCTTCGTAAATCTTTAGTCAGCACCTACGGTTTGCTGAGCATTGTATTAAGCACAATACATCAAATATAAAAAATAAATAATATATAGTATAATCCCAATTCAAACTCAGCTTATCTTTTAGGAAAAGGGAAGAAGAAGAGTACCAAAAATCTCCTGTGATGGAGAAACCATGGTAAGCAGCACAAGACAAGAACAAAGCACTGTGGGGGGCTTTGAGGCGGGGAGGACACGTGGCTTGGCTTCACGGTAGAAGGAGGGAACATGCTGGCCCTTGAAGGTTGGCTGGGACACTGGAGGTCCTGGTGCCTACATGTTGTGGACAAGCTCCTGGGGGCGGAGGCAGAGTGGGAGGAATGGCCTGGGGTCCCAGCTCTCTCCCTAGCCCCTTGGTTTTGTGGCAGAGCCTCCTGCAGAGAGAAGCAACAGCTAGGAGCTAACTTTATAAGGGATTTGGAGAAATACCAGGGCACCTGCAGCATTTCATGGGGTCCCGGTGGCAAGGTGGCATAAGGGCAGGAGGGTAGGGCACAGCATAGCTTGTTCCATGAACCTGAGGGGACCCAGAACACAGAGGACGGAAGGCCAGCAAGGCATAGACCCAGGCCCCTTGCCACCCCGGTGCACACCAGAGCAGAGAGACTCTGTCTTCATGTACCTGAAGCGGCTTGGACAGCAGCCCCAGGAAGAGGGAGCTAAAGGGTGAAACGGGAAAGAACTGTTCTTGAGCTGACATGAGGCTTCCAGAAATAAGCAGGGTAGGGAGTGAGGAGAAACTGAAGATTCTGTAACATGCATGTAGGGTTGTAAGTCAGTGATTTTTAATTATGTTATTATTGCTGAAATGTCTTCATATGAACCCACAGACTGTTGACACAGAAGAAATTCCTATTTCCCTGGTGAACAGGTTTTCCCTCCCTTGAAGCCACCCCAGAATGGGGATCCCATTTCCTTACCAAGCACCCCACCCCAGCTCCTTCTGTTCCCCCCACTGCCGTCTGGAAGGCCACGCGCACTATTGTAACACCTGCACTATTCCTATACTGTTGTTTTCCCCTCTGCTCTCAGACAGACAGGCTGCATTGCTCGCGATCCTCCAGACAACAGACAGGCTGCATTGCTCGCGATCCTCCAGACGATAAGTGTAAGAACCTGTTGTCTGTTCATATTCTGGACTGGAGCACACCCCCGAACCCCCACAGTACATCCATTGACCTCATTCCCAAAGCAAACTGGGGAGGGGGGGAGACTAAAGGAGAAGAAGCTGGAAGCTCAAAGTAATGTACAAAGTATTCAGTGTTTAAATATACGACAAAATAGAATTTGTAGAGGATTGTCCTAGCAACCCAGACGAAACATATAACTAACATTTATTAGCCAGTTACTTAGAGCTTTATTGCATCCCTAACTTTCTGGCTCCATAAAAACCACATATGGTCTTGACTTCAGGTGCATAAGCTGAAAGCCATAGAGTACGAGTGCAGGCTAGCAAGTTAACTGGGTGGTGGTAATTTAGCTAATGCCGTGGGAGTACACATGAGGGTTGCCAGAGAACCAGGCTCTAATTGTGTAACAGGGACTCGTTGGCAGACTTCCAACTGGTAGAATGGCCTTTGTTTCAAAAGAAACAAATGCTGCCTCATGCAGCCAGACCCAAAGACCATGCTTGGAATTACCTCTTGCACAGATGGCACCTTGTATGAATTAGAAAAAGGTGCCCTTTCTGGGTGGAACCTGAGTCAGTGGCAGATGACTGAGTAAGCAGATGGTATGTTTGTGCAAAACAAAGAGGTATCCCAAGACACGCAGCCTGGGCAAGGGAGCATATGCTGGATTTCAGTCCCCACTCTCCCCTTGGTCAGGGGTCCTTGTGCAGTCCACAAGCTACACAACTTTACCCAGCAGCAAGGGCTTTGGAATCTTTTCTTGCCATGTGGCACATGTTGATGAAAGAGGGCTAAGTATTCTGCCTTAAGAAGACATCAGTCTTTCCTGTGGATAGATGTTCCCTGATCTCATCAGGACCCCACCCTACTCAACCTCGACTTGTCACTACCAACCATCCCCCAGCCTTAATCAGGAAACATCTCAGCTAAAAGCGATTCTGGAGGCAGAACTGCTAAGTGAAACAAACACATTGGCTTCCCTTCTAATCTTGCTTATTCCTGTCATTTTTTATATATACTTGGAACTGTCCTTGTTCAATTATAACAACAAAAAGTCATTAACGCCCTTGCACCATAACAGGCGTGTTCTTTTCCAAATAAAACGACTACTCCATCATTTTGGGATATCACTCCCTCGAAGCAGCTGTGCTTCTCTGATGCCCACGCTAATTTAAGGGCCCCTCTTTGAAGCCCCTGAAGCACCCTGGCCTTGCCTTGCCCATGGCAAGACACCAACCACACTCCACTATCATTGCTTGTTGATGTGTCTGTGTCCCTAACTAGGACATGAGCCACCTGAGAGCAGAAACGGGATCTGTTCACCTCTGAACCTCTGAACAAATCCCCAGCACTTGGTTTAAAATATTAGTTGAATGAATGGCCTAAGGAAGAACAAGAACATTGGATTGTGTGCTGTATTAATTTCCCAGAGCTGCTGCAATAAAGTACCACAAAAGGTGTAGCTTTAAACAACAGAAATGTATTGTCTCATCGCTCTGGAGGCCAGAAGTCTGACATCAAGGTGCTGGGTGAGCCATGCTCCCTCTGAAGCTGCGAGGGAAGGGCCTGCTCCTGCCTCTCTCCTGCTTCTGGGAGCCCCGGGCACTCCTTGGTTTGTGGATGCATTTCTCCAATCCTTCACTTCTCATCGCCTTCTTGCTGTGTGTCTTTGCTTTATCTTCCTTATGTGCCTGTCGGTTTCGGTGTCCAAATTTCCCCTTTTAGCAAGGACATCAGTCACACTGGATTTGGACCCACCCTCATGGCTTCATTTTAATTTAATGACCCCTTAAAGACCCTATTTCCAAATACAGTCACATTCTAAGGCACTAGGACTTAAGACATCAACATACCTTTTGGAGGGGCACACAACTCAAGCCGTAACATTCTGGCCAAGATTGGGTAATTTTACTAAATCTTCATGGCAGTCCCACAAAGTCGGTACTATAATCTTCATTATTTGTAATATTAGGAAGCTGAAACTCAACAAAAGATTACAGGGTATTCATTGGTGAAGCCGGGTTTAGTACCCATGTAGGTGACTTCAACACTAGACAACCAGACCATCGTGGTGGAGACCAGCTGGGGCTTGAGTACAGATGGACCTCAGTTCAAGTCCTTCCTCTGCCACCTACAGACCATGAGACATCTGTTTCCTCGTCTGTTAAACAGAAATGATGACAAGACAATGGCCATATCATGTGCAGCACAGAGATTGACAAACATTGGCTCATATCATATCATTATATGGCTCTAACTAGGTCTTCCCAAGGAGTGGCCCTGGAGACAGTAGCGGAATTCAGTTAGAAATGAGGCCGCAGCCTCCAGCTTATCTCTGTGGAGGGTGAGACGTACAGAGCCCACCTGTCCTTTTGTGCATGTGGGGGCCATCTCTTTCCTTTCCCGCCCTCCCTCCTCCAGCGCTCTGTGCTCAGATATCATATTGTCAGAAGAGCAGGAATGGCAGGAGCAGCTGCCCAGCCCAGACCCCTCCCTGCTGCCGTAGCATTCCACACACTCTCTATACCTGCCCCTTTCTCTTCTTAGTCCCTATTGTCACTGTTTCATAACCACAAGTAACAATGGGGTGACCTTCATGCAACCACAAATTACAGAAAACCTTTAGAAGTCCTTTCAGTCAAAGGATACCTTAAGTAGGAGAACTGACCACCGAGACCTCTAAAATTCCCAAGAAAGAAAAACCCATACTTTCTTCGGTGGTATCTTTAGTAATAGCAATCGTACAGTCCTAAAATTGCATGTAACCCACGTCCTTATGCCTTTTTCTTTTCTTTCTTTTCCTGCTTTTCTTAAAGTGGTATAAACCTGAGGGCATGTTGCCGTGAAAACCAGAGAGGGGCTGAGTCTCAGCTCCATCATGTCCTGGCTGTGTGACCTTAGGCAAAGCTACTTAATTTTTTTATGTGTCAGCTTCCTCATCTGTAAAATGGGCTAGTAATTTCTGCCTCCCAGATTGTTGTGTGGAATATGTAACGTGCCAAGCTTGGTAAGGACTCAGTGGATATTATTCCCTCTTCCTTCCCTGAAGTCATTTTTAACTGCATGCATTAAAACAAGCACATATTTACATACAACATTAGAACAACTGTAAATATAGTCAAGAAGAAAATGTGGACTCTAAATTCACGGATGCAACTTGTATCTTAAAAAAATAGATCAGCTTGGGAAGATGAAAAAGTTCTGGAGATAGTGGTGATGGTTACACAATGTGAACGTGCCTAATGCCAGAGAACACTAAGAAATGCTTAAAAAGGGTAAATTTATGTTCTACATATTTTACCAAAATGTAAAGTACTGAAAATTGAAATATTTAAATTAAAATTGCTTTAACTGAAGAAAAAAAAAACAGTTCATTCTGAGCTTATTTTCCTTACTGGGCAAGGAAAAGAAAATGGATCCATGAATAATTAATACTTGAAGCCCTTCCCTATAATTTAATATTTTTTACAAAGCATTCACTATTGTATAAGCCTATTCAAATTTCTTTGATCCTGAAATGTTGACAGACATTGACACTATAATAAAAACTTATTCAAAAGCATTCTTTACATTTTCTCAAAATGCTTTTTTGTTTGTTTGTTTGTTTGTTTGTTTTTGAGAGGAGTCTCGCTAAGCCGCCCAGGCTGGAGGGCAGTGGCGCAATCTCAGCTCACTGCAACCACCATCTCCTGTGTTCAAGCAATTCTCCTGTCTCAGCCTCCCAAGTAGCTGGGATCACAGGCACCCACCATCATGCCCAGCTAATTTTTGCATTTTAGTGGAGACGGGGTTTCACCATGTTGGCCAGGCTGGTCTTGAACTCCTGACCTCAGGTGATCCGCCTGCCTCGGCCTCCCAAGGTGCCAGGATTACAGGCGTTAGCCACTGCGCCCGGCCCTGCTTTGTTTTTTAAAATTGTACACTTAAAATGGTTAAGATGGTAAATTTTATGTTATGTGTATTTTACCACATTTTAAAAAGTCTTTGTGGATTTTTTTATTTCAACCATTGATTAAGAAATGAAAACAGACATTCTGAAAAGAGAAGCTTTGGTGAAGGAAGTGTGAAGTCTTCTAGTAAATTGTTAGGTACTTTAATCACATCTTCTGCTCCTAATGGTCAGACTAGGCAAGGAAGGTCAAAAGGCCAGCCTGTCTGAATGCGCCTTCCGCTGTCTTGGGATCCAAGCCAGGTTTTCTGTCTTTTTTTCTTTGTCATTTTCCCCTGTAAGCCTCCCTTTTCAGTCAGTTTTCCAGTAGCTCTTTGACAGCTCAGCTGCCCCGTGAGCATCTGCCGCAGTAGCTTTTCTACACGATTAATCTACCTCCCTCACAGTTCCTGGGCAGCACAAGGTGATTTGCCTGCCATCTCCTCTTATGAAGGGGCCCGCAGGGCTACAAGCCTTCAGGTTTAGACAATAAATCCGGATTGCTTACACACAGCATTATGTTTGTATCCCTGGAAGATTAGATTTCTCTTAAACGTTTCCAATTTTTAGTCAGTGCCTCTATTCTGCCCTCTCCTTGTAGAAAACAGCTTACCAGACGGACTCTCATGCCAACACAGAGGCTGAAATCCACGTTAAGAGGGTAAATAGGAACTTGGCTGAGCCAGGCTCAGTCCCATGTGCTCCCAGGGCCCTCTTAGCTCTCCAAAATCACATGTATGGGGATCCTGCGGGCTGAAAGAGAAGAGGTGGGATGTCTAAGCAGCTATATGGCCCTGCACAGACAAAGGGTCACAGACAAGGGGAAAAGACCATGTTAGAAGGTGGTCTTCAGAGATGGCTTGCAAGACTGTGGATAAAGAGATAGACTATGCAAAGCGCTCAGCACAACACGTCACATCACACATCTACAGCAAATAAATACTCGGCAATGGGAACTATCACATGACCTGGGACGTACTTATATTCCAATAAGAATGTGTGTTGGGCTCAGCATTTAACCCAAAAATAGCATACCTTAATTAAGCATTTTATGATCCATGTACAGACCCAGTGGTCTTTCTTCACCGAGTTTAGGAAACGAGAATCAGAGGAGCCAGAATTTGTGTATCTGAAAGATGGGCCCACAGGAGAATTCCCGTCTGTTCACCAAGTGGAATTAAGGTTCTTGTTTTAATTCTGGGATCACTAAGCAGCCTTCCAGTTGTGACTTGGTTTCTCACATGAACTCCTGCCAAGGAGGAGGGCAGGTGCAGTGTCAAATCCTGGAGTCTTTCTATAAAATTGTGAGTGGGTTCAGGGTTGGAGTTCCAGTCCTGTCATCGATAAGCTGCCTAACTCTGAGTATGTGTTTTTACCTCTCTGGGTCTGTTTCTTGGACTAAATTATCTCAAAGTATCTCTTTGGCCCTAACATCCTGTAACTTTGAACATCCCAGTCCACTGTCAGTTACATATTTCACAGAAACTGTATGAACTCAGTATTCTCCTTTTATCAATTGGCCTGTCCTGAATTTGACTTAAATGACCGACTTCCTCTGATTCTGGTTATTCTAGGGAGAAATGATAAAAATTTAGTTTGTGGACTTATTAGCCTGAGAGGAAAGCCCCACCTCCTGGAAGGACACCCAAAATTGAGTCATTTTGTCTTTAAATTCTTCAAATACAAAAATCTCAGCCTCTTTTCCATCTGAAAAATAAAAGTGAAGCCAAACTTCAGTTTGCAAAGGATGATTGAGTATTCAAAAAATAACCTCATGAATTATACATTTGAGTAAGCACAAGTTATACTCTTCGTTTACTTTACATGTGTCACTAGGTTGCATATTTATACTACCAGTCAGGAAGAAGAAAATGTATTCTCTTTAGGTTTGGTCTGTTACTGGCTTGGTCTTCCTCCTGAGCTCCCACCTATCACGGGCAAAGGAAAGATAGTTAATATAGAGACTGGTTTTCAACCTTAGATGCAATAATTTAAATAGTCTCTTTGGTACTCATTTTTGGGGGAATGCTATCTCCATGCCCTTTTGCCATGCCCATTCCTTCCAAGGTGGTGTCTGGTACATGGGGGAGGAAGCCTCTCATGACCACATGATGGTGGGATGAAAGAGCGGGGGGACAGAGGACTATCCGCAGCTCCTTGCTTGCTTGTCTTGGCAGTATGGTAGTATAGTAGACTGGCAGTATAGTAGAGTTGACTTGATCTTGTCTGTTGAATCTGCCAGTCTGCTGATGATGTATGTGCATCACAAACCTGTGCCCATTCTTTCCCAATGGGCTTTCCATTGACTTTGTCTTCTCTCAGCTCCCACTGGTCAATAGACCACTGAGGCTGAGTACCGTGGCCCAGACTCTATGACTGAGCCCCTCATCTTACCACAGTCGGCCCTATGGTAGACTCACTGACTTTCCACTCAGCATTTATGCCATATAAGAATCAACATAGGGTTGAGAGTGTTAAGTAGACTCGTTCTGTATTCAACTGTCTCACACCACCATGTTGGATCACCCCTAAGTCCCTGCATACTGGCCTAAGTCCCTGCATAGCCTCTTCCCCAGTGTTCTAAATGGTAAACAGAGAAAGCATGCCCAACCCTTCTATCCATTCCTGTGTTCTCCTTGCTGTATCTGTCACAGTGGTGTGCTGGTAGTATGACAACAGGTTTTCTAGAAATTTATAGTGTTTTCCAGTTACCATGGTATAAATATTCCCACTATGTCCATCTCAAGATGCTAGCTATTTGAGGGGTCCATCCCAAGATGGCCGAATAGGAACAGCTCCGATCTGGAGCTCCCAGCATGATCGACAGAGAAGATGGGTGATTTCTGCATTTCCAAATGAGGTACCTGGTTCATCTTACTGGGACCGGTTGGACAGTGGGTGCAGCCCACAAAGGGCGAGCCAAAGCAGGGCCGGGGATCACCTCACCTGGGAAGCTCAAGGGGTCAAGGGATTTCCCTTTCCTAGCCAAGGGAAACCGTGATAGACTGTACCTGGAAAAACGGGACACTTCTGCCCCAATACTGCACTTTTCCCATGGTCTTAGCAACTGGCAGACAAGGAGATTCTCTCCGTGCCTGGCTCGGCAGGTCCCATGCCCATGGAGACTTGCTCACTGCTAGCGCAGCGGTCTGAGATCCACCTGCAAGGCTGCAGCCTGGCAGGGAGTGCGGGACGGGGGTGTCTGCCATTGCTGAGGCTTGAGTAGGTAAACAAAGTGGCGGGGAAGCTCAAACTGGGTAGAGCCCACTGCAGCTCAGCAAGGCCTATGGTCTCTATAGACTCCACCTTTGTGGGCAGGGCATAGCTGAACAAAAGGCAGCAGAAACTTCTTCAGACTTAAACACCCCTGTCTGACAGCTCTGAAGAGAGCAGTGGTTCTCCCGGTACAGTGTTTGAGCTCTGAGAACGGACAGACTGCCTCCTCAAGTTGGTCCCTGACCCATGTGTAGCCTAACTGGGAGACACCTCCCAGTAGGGGCCTACAGACACCTCATACAGGTGGCTGTCCCATCTGGAACAAAGCTTCCAGGGGAAGGATCAGGCAGTGATATTTGCTGTTCTGCAATATTTGCTGTTCTGCAGCCTCCACTTGTGATACCCAGGCAAACAGGGTCTGGAGTTGACCTCCAGCAAACTTCAACAGACCTGCAGCTGAGGGACCTGACTGTTAGAAGGAAAACTAACAAACAGAAAGGAATAGTATCAACATCAACAAAAAGGACATTCACACCAAAACCCCATTTGTAGGTTGCTAACATCAAAGAACAAAAGTAGATAAAACCACAAAGATGGGGAGAAACCAGAGAAGAAAAGCTGAAAATTCTGAAAACCAGAGCACCTCTTCTCCTCCAAAGGATTGCAGCTCCTCACCAGCAATGGAACAAAGTTGGACAGAGAATGACTTTGACAAGTTGACAGAAGTAGGCTTCAGAAGGTCGGTAATAACAAACTTCTCCGAGCTAAAGGAGCATGTTCTAACCCATCACAAGGAACCTAAAAACCTTGAAAAAAGATTAGATGAATGGCTAACTAGAATAAACAGTGTAGAGAAGACCTTAAATGACCTGATGGAGCTGAAAACCATGGCATGAGAACTTTGTGATGCATGCACAAGCCTCAATAGCTGATTCGATCAAGTGGAAGTAAGGATATCAGTGATTGAAGATCAAATTAATGAAATAAAGTGAGAAGACAAGTTTAGAGAAAAAGAATAAAAAGAAACAAAGAAAACCCCCAAGAAATATGAAACTATGTGAAAAGGCCAAATCTATGTTTGATTGGTGTACCTGAAAGTGACAGGGAGAATGGAACCAAGTTGGAAAACACTCTTCAGGATATTATCCAGGAGAACTTCCCCAATCTAGCAAGACAGGCCAACATTCAAATTCAGGAAATACAGAGAACACCACAAAGATACTCCTCGAGAAGAGCAACCCCAAGACACATAATTGTCAGATTCACCAAGGTTAAAATGAAGGAAAAAGTGTTAAGGGCAGCCAGAGAGAAAGGTCGGGTTACCCAAAAGGGAAGCCCATCAGACTAACAGTGGATCTCTTGGCAGAAACCCTACAAGCCAGAAAAGAGTGGGGGCCAATATTCAATATTCTTAAAGAAAAGAATTTTCAACCCAGAATTTCATATCCACCAAACTAAGCTTCATAAGTGAAGGAGAAATAAAATCCTTTACAGACAAGCAAATGCTGAGAGATTTTGTCGCCACCAGGCCTGCCTTAGAAGAGCTTCTGAAGGAAGCAGTAAACATGGAAAAGAACAACTGGTACCAGCCACTGCAAAAACATGCCAAATTGTAAAGACCATCAATGCTATGAAGAAATTGCATCAATTAACGGGCAAAATAACCAGCTAACATCATAATGACAGGATCAAATTCACACATAACAATATTAACCTTAAATGTAAATGGGCTAAACACCCCAATTAAAAGACACAGACTGGCAAATTGGATAGCGTCAAGACCCATCAGTGTGCTGTATTCAGGAGACCCATCTCACGTGCAGAGAGATGCACTTGATAAATAAAGGGGTGGAGGAAGATCTACCAAGCAAATGGAAAGCAAAAATAAAGCAGGGGTTGCAATTCTAGTCTCTGAGAAAACAGACTTTGAACCAACAAAGATCAAAAGAGACAAAGAAGGCCATTACATAATGGTAAAGGGATCAATTCAACAAGAAGAGCTAACTATCCTAAATATACATGCACCCAATACAGGAGCACCCAGATTCATAAAGCAAGTCCTTAGAGACTTACAAAGAGACTTAGACTCCCACACAATAATAATGGGAGACTTTAACACCCCACTGTCAATATTAGACAGATCAATGAGACAGAAGGTTGACAAAGTTATCCAGGACTTGAACTCAGCTTTGCACCAAGCAGACCTAATAGACATCTACAGAACTTGCCACCCCAAATCAAAAGAAAATACATTCTTCTCAGCACCACATCATACTTATTCTAAAACTGACCACATAATTGGAAGTAAAGCACTCCTCAGCAAATGTAAAAGAACAGAAATCACAACAAACTGTCTCTCAGACCACAGTGCAATCAAATTAGAACTCAGGATTAAGAAACTCACTCAAAACCACACAACTATGTGGAAACTGAACAACCTGCTCCTGAATGACTACTGGCTAAATAACGAAATGAAGACAGAAATAAAGATGTTCTTTGAAACCAATGAGAACAAAGACACAACATACCAGAATATCCAGGACACATTTAAAGCAGTGTGTAGAGGGAAATTTATAGCACTAAATGCCCACAAGAGAAAGAAGGAAAGATCTAAAATCGACACCCTAACATCACAATTAAAAGAACTAGAGAAGCAAGAGCAAACACATTCAAAAGCTAGCAGAAGGCAAGAAATAACTAAGATCAGAGCAAAACTGAAGGACATAAAGACACAAAAAAAACCCTTCAAAAAATCAATGAATCCAGGAGCTGGTTTTTTGAAAAGATCAACAAAATTGATAGATCACTAGCAAGACTAATAAAGAAGAAAAGAGAGAAGTATCAAATAGACACAATAGAAAATGATAAAGGGGATATCACCACTGATCCCACAGAAATACAAACTACCATCAGAGAATATTATAAACACCTCTACGCAAATAAACTAGAAAATCCAGAAGAAATGGATGGATTCCTGACAGATACACCCTCCCAAGACTAAACCAAGAAGAAGTTGAATCTCTGAATAGACCAGTAACAGGCTCTGAAATTGAGACAATAATTAATAGCCTACCAACAAAAAAAAAGTCCAGGACCAGATGGATTCACAGCCGAATTCTACCAGAGGTACAAAGAAGAGCTGGT
Source organism: Homo sapiens (assembly GCF_000001405.40). Classification (NCBI taxonomy): domain Eukaryota; kingdom Metazoa; phylum Chordata; class Mammalia; order Primates; family Hominidae; genus Homo; species Homo sapiens. The sequence goes on from NC_000006.12 coordinate 6,671,749, forward strand.
ATAATTCCTTCTGACTATTTCAATCAATAGAAAAAGAGGGACTCCTCCCTAACTTATTTTCTGAGGCCAGCATCATCCTGATACCAAAGCCTGGCAGAGACACAACAGAAAAAGAGAATTTTAGACCAATATCCCTGATGAACATCGATGCAAAAAGCCTCAATAAAATACTGGCAAACCGAATCCAGCAGCACATCAAAAAGCTTATCCACCATGATCAAGTGGGCTTCATCCCTGGGATGCAAGGCTGGTTCAACATATGCAAATCAATAAACATAATCCAGCATATAAACAGAACCAACGACAAAAACCACATGATTATCTCAATAGATGCAGAAAAGGCCTTTGACAAAATTCAACAACCCTTCATGCTAAAAACTCTCAATAAATTAGGTATTGATGGGACGTATCTCAAAATAATAAGAGCTATCTATGACAAACCCACAGCCAATATCATACTGAATGGGGAAAAACTGGAAGCATTCCCTTTGAAAATTGGCACAAGACAGGGATGCCCTCTCTCACCACTCCTATTCAACATAGTGTTGGAAGTTCTGGCCAGGGCAATCAGGCAGGAGAAGGAAATAAAGGGTATCCAATTAGGAAAAGAGTCAAATGATCCCTGTTTGTAGATGACATGATTGTATATCTAGAAAACCCCATCGTCTCAGCCCAAAAGCTCCTTAAGCTGATAAGCAACTTCAGCAAAGTCTCAGGATACAAAATCAATGTGCAAAAATCACAAGCATTCTTATACACCAATAAGACAAACAGAGAGCCAAATCATGAGTGAATTCCCATTCACAATTGCTTCAAAGAGAATAAAATACCTAGAAATCCAACTTACAAGGGATGTGAAGGACCTCTTCAAGGAGAACTACAAACCACTGCTCAAGGAAATAAAAGAGGATACAAGCAAATGGAAGAACATTCCATGCTCATGGGTTGGAAGAATCAATATCATGAAAATGGCCATACTGCCCAAGGCAATTTATAGATTCAATGCCATCCCCATCAAGCTACCAAAGACTTTCTTCACAGAATTGGAAAAAACTGCTTTAAGGTTCATATGGAACCAAAGAAGAGCCCGCATTGCCAAGTCAATCCTAAGCCAAAAGAACAAAGCTGGAGGCATCACGCTACCTGACTTCAAACTATATTGCAAGGCTACAGTAACCAAAACAGCATGGTACTGGTCTTCACCAGTTTCTAACAGAGGTTCTGGAACATAGTAGGTTCTCAATCAAGGTCTGTGGAATTGAATTTGGGTACCAGCAGTGCCTCTGGAAGGGGATTTTCTACCCCTCTACTTCTGCCTCCTTTCTCAGGTCCATGAAAACAACCTGCCATTGGTTATTCATCAACAATATGCTCCATGCTGGATCTTAAACTCCACCTTGGATCCAGGTTAATGACACTTGTACTGCTCTAAACTTCCATTGTGTGAACCACCAGATTTTCATCCTTTCTTCAGACTCGTGTGACTGAGTGCTGCTCCCACACATGACCACCCCCGACCTCACTCAGCATCTGTGGAGTTCAATTATATCAGGATCCACAATACCCTTGGGAAATCGATTTCCTCCCCCAAACTTCTGCCTCCTTCTTCTGACCCCCTAATAACCACCAGATACTGATAAAGTAAACCATGATTTCCTAGTTCACTTTACCACCCCTGCCCCATCTGTCTGTCTAGACCTTATCCCAAAAATACCTGATGTGCAAGCCACAGAGGAAATTTTTAATTTTCTAGTAGTCACATTTAAAAAAAAAGAAAAAGGTGAAATTAATTGTAATAGTACATTTTATTTCAATTATCTAAAATGTTATCATTTCAATATGTAATAAATAATTTTTAAAATTATTAGTAAGACATTTTACATTCTTGTTTTTCTCTAAGACTTCAAAATCCAGTCTGTATTTAATCCTTACAGCCCATCTCAATTTGGACTGGCTTCATTTCAAGTTTGTAACGGCCACTAGGAGCCAGTGGATATTGTATTGAATAGCACGTGACCAGAAATTAGGTATTAGTAGTAATAAAAATAATAATAGCTAATACTTACTGTGTACTTACAACATACCCAGCACGCTCCTGAGCCCTGGAGACTTTCTATGCATTCCAAAACTTACTTCTTACAGCAATCTCATAGGCTAGGGACTGTTATTAATCCCATATTGTAAACAAAGAAATAGCCTCACAGATTATGCACTTTCCCAAGCTGATACAAACTGTTGAGTGGCAGAGCCAAAGCTAGCAGACTGGTGGGTTTCCAGGCTCAGGCATTTATCACTCCTGTGACGCTGCTTCCTAACCTACAGAACAGTTACTAAACTTACGAAATTTCCACACATTGGGAATACATGCGAGGACTAAAAATGTGACGGATAGGCCGGGCGTGGTGGCTCACGCCTGTAATCCCAGCACTTTGGGAGGCCAAGGCGGGCGGATCACGAGGTCAGGAGATCAGACCATCCTGGCTGACAAGGTGAAACCCCGCCTCTACTAAAAATACAAAAAAAAATTAGCCGGGCGTGGTAGCGGACGCCATAGTCCCAGCTACTCGGGAGACTGAGGCAGGAGAATGGCGTGAACCCGGGATGCGGAGCTGGCAGTGAGCCGAGATCGTGCCTCTGCACTCCAGCCTGGGCAACTGAGCAAGACTCCGTCTCAAAAAAAAAAAATGTTATGGATAAAATAGCTGAAATGTTTCGAAGGCTAAATTCGTGTGTGTGTGTGTGTGTGTGTGTGTGTGTTGAGAAGGAGTCTCGCTCTGTCTCCCAGGCTTCAGTGCAGTGGCGTGATCTCGGCTCACCGCATCCTCCACCTCCCAGGTTCAGGTGATTCTCCTGCCTCAGCCTCGGGAGTAGCTGAGATTATACGTGCCCACCACCATGCCTGGCTAATTTTTGTATTTTTAGTAGAGATGGGGTTTCACCATGTTGGCCAGGCTGATCTGAAGCTCCTGACCTCAGGTGATTCGCCTGCCTCGGCCTCCCAAAGTGTTGGAATTACAGGTGTGAGCCACCATGCCCAGCCTAAATTCAGATTTTGAAAGTCATCAGAGAGGATAACCATATCCTTCCAGAAAATACCCCCCTGTGCCATAGCCAAAGAGGAAACCCAGCAAAGGGTAATATTTATTATGTTCTCGAGCTTTGAAAACTTCAAAAAGCATTCATTTAGAGAAAGTTAGTTTCCAACAGACTAGACAGACAATTAAAATCAAGCTGGTTTCCCCCTTGGTCCCTTCACTCAATAAACCCTGTTAGCCTCTGGAGCCAATGCTATTAGCCTGGAATGCGGTGGGGGGCGCTCTTAGCTGCTGTCTCATGTGCTGTTTTCAAAGACTTCTCCGTGAGGAACATCAATGGTTTCCTTCTGTTGCCCTGGCTAACTAAGTGGAACACCCTCTTAGCAACAAAAAGGGGAGATTTGCTAGCACCTTCACTATATGCAGCAAATATCATCTCCCAGTAATAGTCCTAGGTAATTAAACTTTTATTTTTCCCATGATTTATCGTCTGGGAAATACTAACTCTGTTAAACTTCGGACTTTACATATAAAATGTAAAATTTTTTTCAGTTTGGATAAAGTTCTGTTATAAGTAACTGAAAATCAAGCAGAGACATACACAAGTTAGAGGTTTATTTCTCTCTCCAGTAAACCTGGGAAGTTCATGGTGGCCCAGTTCACTAGGACTTGGACTTCTTTTATTTTGTAACTCCATCATCCTCACCTGTGGCTTCTGCCTTTTAGTCCAAAATGGCTGTTTCAGATCTAGTGATATCATCACATTCCAGCCAGCAAGAAAGAAAAGAAGGCAAGAAAGTGATAGCCCTCTTCTTTTAAGGACCCTTCTGGAAGTTGTATATACAACTTGTACATATTGGCCAGTAGGCCACCTGAGAAGACTGAGGGCCTCAGTTCTTTCCTAGCTGTTGGCTGGAGGTTGCACACAGTTTCTCATTACATGGCTTTTTCAATATGGCAGATTGCTTTATGAAAACAATATTCAGCAAGACCCAAGCTTCAAGGGGGGATGAGAAATGTAATATTTGCTCTCAGTTTCTGTGGTAGCCATGAAATTATGCCTCTCAGATGTCCGACTAAGGAAACGTAATTGTCTGAAGGCCCCAGCTGCTGTCCTCTGGAAAGGCTGAGGGAGGAGGGTTGCTTGACTTAGGAAGTCAAGGCTGCAGTGAGTTATGATCGCGCCACTGCACTCCATCCAACCTGCTTGACAGAGCAAGACCCCATCTCTAAATAAATTTTTAAAAATACAATCCGCCAGGCACAGTGGCTCACTCCTGTAATCCCAGCACTTTGGGAGGCCGAGGCAGGCGGATCATGAGGTCAGGAGATAGAGACCATCCTGACCAACATGGTGAAACCCTGTCTCTAGTAAAAATACAAAAATTAGCTGGGTATGGTGGCACACGCTTGTAGTCCCAGCTATTCGGGAGGCAGAGGCAGGAGAATCACTTGAACCCGGGAGGAAAATATTGCAAGGAGCAGAGATCGCGCCACTGCACTCCAGCCTGGCGACAGGGCAAGACTCTGTCTCAAAAACAAACAAACGAAAAACCAATCTACTCCAAAAATACTATTTAAATAACAGAAAAAGCCTGTTTCTATTTCTGTCAATGTATGTGTATTGCATGTATGTTACAAATAATCCTTTTCCTAACTTAGAACTTATATTTCTACAGGGTGAGGGCTTATGTATAAAACCAATATAAAATAATGAAGAGGAGAGATACCAAATCTTACATCTTTTCCTTGTACAACCTGAAGACATGCCTCAGACCCAATAATTTTTTATATTGCAATTTTCATTTTAATTCCTTAATTTTGTACTAATTTTCCAAAATGTTTGGTAGATTTCCCTCAATATGCTAAGAGGTCAGCTTAAGAGAATGGGCAGGGGGTCTTGGAAACTCAGATAAGGGCCTTGACACTTATTTTGGGCAAAGCTAACACTGAGTCACAGGGTTGTTCCAATGAATTATTTTCCCTGTTGCCTCAGATGAGAAAAATTCACTCTGATTTTATTTCTTATTCTTGTGTCTGCTTTATCATCACAGTTAATATAAAATATGCCAATAAATACTCTATCTAAACAATAAGTCTTCTCATTTCCTTTTTGCGCCACACAGAACTTGCAGAAAATGGGGAAAACGGGGCTACCTTTTCTTAAACCAGTTTGCCCAGGAAGCCCATGCTGTGTAGTTCACAATTTCAGCCAGGAGGTGGCGGTAGTAACCAATGGCAAAATCCTGAGACACTGCCTCTATCAGCTTCTCATTGTCCTGCGGACGCTTCCTGGATCTAATCTGATGCTTATGAAAGTGATTTCCTTCTTTCGAAAACACCAGGCCCAAACAAAAACTAACTTCATCCTGCAGATAAAAACTGTATGTGCCTTACAAGTTGTCAGACTCCTCCAGACCTTCAATCAATATTTTCCCAGCAGCAAAATGCAGCTGCACATTTTAGGAAGCAGAGTGGGCAAATTCCTTCTGCGGAAGCCCATGAACCATCAGGCCTCCCCCTCAGGGTGGCAGGAAGGTGTGGAAAGGGGGACTAAGCAATCCAAGCTGCTAGACAATCCGAGCTCCAGGGAGGCCAAGCACATTCCCCCAGTTTGTGCAGGAAACAGCAGGGAACTGAAAAAAGGGTTCTGTTGAGATGAGACTGATGTTCCCAAGTCCTGAGTCCTCAAACCGAATCACTTTCCGGCAGCAACACCTGTCTTTAGCATGCAAACATCGGTCTCATAGAGTCTTCCCTGAAAGATGTTTAATGATCATGTCATTACTGTCACTCTTTTTTTTTTTTTTGAGAGTGAGTTTTGCTCTTGTTGCCCAGACTGGAGTGCAATGGAGCGATATCAGCTCACCCCAACTTCTGCCTCCCAGGTTCAAGCGATTCTCCTGCCTCAGCCTCCCGGGTAGCTGGGGTTACAGGCATGTGCCACCACGCCTGGCTAATTTTGTATTTTTAGTAGAGACGGGGTTTCTCCATGTTGGTCAGGCTGGTCTCAAACTCCCAACTTCAGGTGATCTGCCTGCCTCGGCCTCCCAAAGTGCTGGGATTACAGGCGTGAGCCACTGCGCCCAGCCACTGCCACCTTTTAAACTACAGAAGATGAGTGTGCCTGCTCAGACAATGAAGGACTCTGAGGGATTTGGAGAGCCACAAGGAGTCCAGACCTTAACCTGAGGGCAACAGCACCATTAAAAGTTTCTAAGACAAGGAGGAACACGGCTCCACCAATTTACAATGGCTAAGAAGAAAATAAGCTCGTCGGAAGGCAGGAAGTTGAGTCAATTTTCTATCCATGAATCTCAGCATTAGGTTGTTTTTATTGAACTTCTGATAGTACATCTTGAAGAATGCTAAGGAAAAGTCTAGAAAGGTGCTCTTAGTCTCCTTTCTCTACTGCAGAAGCCCTTTGTGATCTCCAGGGGAAGCAGCCCCCGTTTCCATATGGTCCCAGGGAGACGAACGACGGCAGAACATTTCATGTGCTGTGGAGGCACCTAGCTTCAGAATGTGAAAAAGTAACCAGAGCTCTCAAACCTCCCTTTCCTCATGTGTTAAATAGGGATAATAGTCCTTACGTCAGGGTTGTTGGGAGAGTGAAATGAGATCACATATGTGAGTCACTGACCTACAGTAAGTGTTTGGTAAACAGTAGTTATCATGGGCGGAGGCCTGACCTGGGAAACGGTCGGCAGGCACAGTAAACTCACCAGCAGATGCTAAAGGGAGCCCCGAGGCTCATCATACCCACCACATGTACACGCATACACACATACACACACACGCACTCATGCACACACACAAGCAGGCACAGAGCATCCCTCCTACATCTCACACATGCCAGGTCTTCCGGGAGTCACTTCTGTGCTTCAGCCAAGATGCCCTGGAAATTTTCCTTTTCTCACCTGCATGAAAATGCTTTTGAGGCCCCCCAGCCTCCGCCCGGAGTTTAGCCCCTTCAGACTCTGCACCCCTGGGGGTGGCCCTGACCCACCCACCCCTGGAGCCCACCATTCCAGGGCTCCCTGATTGTTTACATGGCAATAGAAAGCTTGAGATCAAGCTGAGGTTGCGGCGCATATTTGAACTACAGGGAAGGGAAAGTGTCCTGCTGAGGTTTAGAAGGAAGGTGGGGACTCACAGAAGCCACACAATGAAAAGTCACTGATGATAAATGCCGATTTCACACCCGTTAACCACGGAGAATGCGCCTGCACCAGGCCCAGGTGTCTCTTGACGGAACGAGGTGTGCCTCTCCCCGCGGTGTGCAGCCTGCCCTGTTCTTGCCCTGCAGTCTCATGGGAACTTGCACTGTTTACCAGAGCTAAGTCGGAGTTCATCAGCATTCACTCAGACCTATTCCAAGTGACTTCTCATGCCCAACCAGGCAGGGACAGGATGGCTCAGTCCCCTGCATAGAAACTTCCAAAGTTCTAAAAGAGTCTTACAGCAGAAAGGAGTTCAGTGCCAGGCCTAAATTGATTCCTTTAACAAAACCTGTGCAGGTTCTGGCTTACAGGACTTGGTTCCAAATGTTGGTTTGGAATGTCACTTCCATCAAAACAATGACTCTCAGGGTGGGTGTGTTTCCAGGATTCCCTCAAAAGACAGTTGAGCCCACTCTCATCCTCCCGCAGAGCCGGGAAGCCAGGGAAAGCCTGGCACATTGGGGAGACTGAGTCAAGTTCAAAATGGCCAGAGAATTGATGAGGAGGGCCAGGAATGGAGAGAGAAGAGAGAGAAAGTACACAGAGGCCCATCAGATAATGAAGGACTTTGGAAGCCACTTTAGGAGTCTGGACGTTACCCTGAGATAATGGGGTGCCATGGAAGGATTTTAAGTAGAAGCCCCACTGATCAAAAAGGCTGAAACTCTTCTCCCTTCAAAGTATTGCAACAGTAGAAGTAAACTCTGTGGCTGGTCCAGGGCCTGGAGCTGCAGGGGTTCTCGGACAGCATAGGAGACAGGGAGAGCAACGAGGGCCCTGGGCTCCCTGCCAGGGTGGGCAGGGAGGGGAGCCCCGAAGCTCTTGGTTTCAGCATAGGGAGTGGGAGAGGCCGGAAGGAGAGGCCAATAAGACACTTCCCAACTCAGGGAGCTCTTTTTAGGTGGGAGGCTATGTTTAATGCAGGTGTTCCTCAGGGGATGTCTGCATCCTGCTTTCTTGAAAATGCAGTTTCCTCCAAGCCTAGAAACTACTATCAGTCCAGACATGATGGCTACACGGCAGTGGTCATACAAAAAAAAAAAAAAGAAAGGTGCAAGATGTGCAAGATGGAAAGAATGGATCTATTTTATGTGGGACATTAGTTATCTGTAAACGTTTGACAAACACCAAAGGCTGGTGCCCTGCAGGCCACAGTATATTGATTTCTCTTTATGCCCAGATATGAACTGCATAAAACTTGAAGCCTGTGGGAAGTAATTTAAGGTTAAAATATTTTTATGATATAATAGTGTTTTTCTAAAAGCAAAGATAGTATAAATAAATACACCTGCACACCAATGATAAGGTTAAAATTGTATATTTAAATATATTAATAAATCAAGCCATAGGGCAAACCGAGAGCAATAAAGGCAACACAGATCCCTAATCATGAGTCAGTCAGCACTGCAGCAAACAGGCAAGGTGCTCGGACTGAAATATTTTCATAAAAGCCATACCAACTTTGCACAAATGAGTTTTTATTCTCTAGACAGCACATGTTATAACGTGAGCCTTTTAATTTTCCTCACTTTTCATTTATTTTGCTTTTGCTCTAGACAAATGCCAGGATTAACAAAAAACATTCTTTCTACATTTATTAAAAAACAAAAATATATTCAGAAACCTAGGCTTACAATATTGGAACTTCCCCTCTCAAAAAGCAAGACAGCTTCTTAGCTAAATTGCAAAAACATTGGCAGGCTTCCATGAGATTTCAAAAATAGTTAAATAGCAAGATGGCCCACATATTTTTCCATGAATACATTAAAAACAGATTGATGACTATTGAAACATGAAACATAACTACTACCATATTTTATGGAATCCAAAACTGCCTTGGTGTAAGACACACTGTTATTTAATGAAGGACTAAGAAAATATAAACACTGACAGAACTCTATCTGTCACAATGTTTTATCACTTAGACTTTTTAAAGCATATTACAAGAGCTCTTTTAGGCCTAATTGAACTTAGAATTTATTCATCATATATCACTCTTCTGCATGAGCAGAAAAGCAAAGATAGGTAAATCACTGGGTTACAGTATGCCTAAGACTTCACAGTCAGCCTCTAACTCTTTGGAATCACTCTTTGATTCTGGATCTTTTATATCCATGTCTTCCCAGACACTGTTGAACCTCGAGCCATCAAGAGCTTCCAGGAGGGTTTTGGTGAGGCCGTATAGCTTTGAAAAGTGCCAGACAATTGTCTTCAGGATTTTCATCTAAGCCTCTGACACCCATCCTCTGAGCTTTGATGTTCACACAAAGGCCACGGCAACCATGTCACACAGCTGCGATGGGAGTATGGGACCCGGAGATTTCAGAGTGGTTGGAGCAGAAGAAAGCATTCCTCTTAGAATCGGTGAAATACACTCAAATGTAATTTTTACTTTTGTGGTCTTCCACTTCCACTTTTCCCCCCACCTCCAACCAGATACATTTATATACATCTAAGTCCAAAGATAACTCAGGGAAGGAGAAAATTCTGACATCTATAATAAAAAGTAGGAAAAAACACATTTAAAAAAAACATGGCAAACCTATCATTGGGGATTATTGCGTCAGTCTACACTCCAGAATGTCTCCAGCTGGTACACGGTGTAAATTAGCACTGCTGGAAGCTAGGAGTACATGTGGGTTAAGAAGCCTGGGGAGGCTCAGGGCAACAGAAATAACACAGGCGCTGGGGTCAGCCCCAGCTGGGAATGGGTGGCGGCTTTCTCATTTAACTTGCCTGATGATGTCCATGCTACCTAACCTCTCTAAGCTCCAGGCTGCTCATCTATTAAAAGGATGATAATAGTACGTGTCTCACTGGGTTGTGATAAGAAGTAAATCAAGTCACAAATATAAAACACCACCAATAAATGCCAAATATATTTTGGTCCCCCCCCCATTTATCCCGTCCTCAATAAACAGCCCCAGACATCACCCAAAAGCTGAAAATAAATCAGAACCACTCAAAAACAAAGAAACAAAATTGAAGCATGCTTTTGTCTGTGTATCACTGAGATTCATGAATGGCAACTAATTCTCTCATATTTTTCCACCAACACAGAAAATAGTTACAGCTCAACATCGGGAGCAACATCTTTGGGTTTTTGACATTCTACTACAAATGGTGATCTTTTAAAGAATAGTATATGAACATGATCCAAGTCTGTTGAGAAGTGAGTTCAGCCACAACCTTTGGCATTCTTGGATGCAGTCAGACTCTTCCACAGCAGTGGCAAGTTCATGCCTGGGCAGACAGTTGGTGAGGACACAGCCCGATCCCAAGCCCAGCTCACTCCCAGTGGCTTCTCTCCCTCCCTTTCTGTGGGCACACCAGCTACAGTATTCTCCTGCCTGCCCCCAAATACAATGCCTCCACGCAGGGCATGCAGATGCAAACCTCTGCCTTCCAGGAAACCCAGCAAAACTTCCTCCTTGGAGTTGGTTCCAGTAAAAGGTGGAGCTCACCCACAGTGGGCAGGAAGTTGAAAACACAATCCCAAACTCAGCAGCGACTTTCTTCTGAGGCCCTGGTAGCTCAGTTAATCATTTCACCTTGGTTTTCCATCTTTCTAATGGGAGTAATAGGCTTCCCTCCTCTACAAGTATGTTTTGAGAATTAAGTGTTTGGGGAATGTGGCTGTTTTGTATGCTCTGGTGGGTGGAACATTGAGAGAATACCAAACACTACTGTGGCGTATTTGTGGTGAACTGACAGCCTGACCCTTTAGTAAACCACATTACTAGGAATCGCGTCCATCACTACTCAAGGCTTTTATAGGTTAAAAAAAAAATCATGGCCAGGCGCGGTGGCTCACACCTGTAATCCCAGCACTTTGGGAGGCCGAGGCGGGCGGATCACCTGAGGTCAGGAGTTCGAGACCAGCCTGGTCAACACGGTGAAACCCCGTCTCTACCAAAAATACAAAAATTAGCTGGGCGTGGTGGCAGGCACCTGTAATCCCAGCTACTCAGGAAGCTGAGGTAGGAGAATCGCTTGAACCCGGGAGATGGAGGTTGCAGTGAGCCGAGATCACGCCACTGCACTCCAGCCTGGGCAACAAGAGCGAAACTCCATCTCAGAAAAAAAAAAAAAAGAAATCATGTAGTAGATGATTCTCTCTCTCTCTTTACCTCTCTCTTTATCTCTCTCCCCACCCTTTTCTCTCTCCATCTCCTTTCTTTCTCTCCCTCCCTTTCTCCTCTCCTCTTTCCCCATCTCTCCCTTCCTCTGTCTCTCCCTTTCTTTCTCCCCCTTCTCTTTCTCTTTCCCTCTCTCTCTCCTGTTTTTGGTCTGTGCAGGTTCATGTCTCCTCTGTTGTGGTAACAGCACTCCTTTCCTCTGGGCTTTTGCAACACTCTCCCCCACAATACCTCCTCCAATCCCTCTCCTATTTGGGGACCCCAGGCAAAGACCCAGGACTCAGGCCTCCCTGGTTATAACATCCCACCTGCCTCAGCCTGGGTTTCCCCCAAGGCAGAGCCTCACCAGCAGGTAGCTTATTAGAAAGAGGGCACAGGGATCAGGGGCGAGGCAAGGAGCAAAAGTCAATAGACCAATGAGTTAATAAGTCGGCCGCCAAGGTGGATGTCTGGGGGAAGATCTTGCCAGGGTTGTCCCAGCAACCTACAGCGTGCACCTTAGAACTGTCTGCCTGAGGGAAAAAAGGCAGGAACATTTAGCCATCGGCTCCTTCCCCTAGCTCCTCTGCTCCTTATTTCCAGGTAAAGCACATACGAGTATTGGGTGGGTTGTGCCCGTGTCCCCCACCAGAGTTTAGGAGAACTGCAGTAGGAGGCAACCCAAGTCAAGGTGAGCCACTCAGGATGTGACTGATGCCATGGCCAAGATGAGAGATAGTTCTGAGAAAATGCAAGACTTGTACAAAAGCTGTCCAGCGCACCATTCCTGGGTATTCTTCCAACAAAGGCACTTCTTAGAAAGCTGTTTTAACCTTATGACACTTTTAAAATTATAGCATTTCAGAATCCAGGAAACTTGATATAGCTCAGGGAGAGTCCCAGTGCACATTAACATATTACATTCTCTAAAAAGTTCTGCAACTTCTTTATCTCAAACGCTTGTTCCCCATGGTTAATCATCAACCAGAAACAGACACTAGGTCATGCTGCAGGAAAGCTTCCATAGAAAGCAGCAGGTAAGCAAATTTCCTTCAGATACTTTTGTGCAATTGATTCAAAGAGGAGGGTCAGGAATGCCATTTCTCAGAGGAGTAAAGCTCATTCACGCAGAAACAACCTGATACCATCAACAAGAATGTCTATATATTGAAGGTCAAGAATAATGAAAAAACTCAGTGATAATATACACCCTGTTTGTGAGGCACTCATCACATTATGGAACATTCAGGCAGTCCTCACCTTGCATAGTTCCCAAACGCACGAATTTTCATTGCCCTGTGGCAACTGAGGTTAAATAACACCAGCCCCCTAACAACATGGTTCCAATTTCAGTCACCATTAACTGTGAGTGATTGCATGGGGGACAACCTCTGCTGCTTGCTCTGCAGTCCACAGACCACCACGTAATAACAGATGTGCATCATGATCAGTGATTAACCGCATCACGTCCTTCAGTCCTTCCGTGTTATCAGTTCCCACACAGACAGCAAAGCGTGTGGTCGTGCTGCTCTCTTGGCTCCCAGTGACAAACCCACGTGACATTTCACAGAAATGAATACTCAAGAGAGGTAGGTAGCCAATGAAGAGGAAAGTATAGCAAAGAAACAAAAAGTGAGAATGCAGGAGGTGAAAGTTGACTCAGACGTAAACGAGTTTAGAGAAGAAAGAGCTGATGGTGGGAAAGTTGATGCTGTTGTCTTTTGAGAGATTCTGGATGTGTCTTTTGAGGGACTCAGGATAAAGATGCTGGCAAAAACTTCATATTAAAGAAACTCTTGGAGATATTTCACAGCACTGAAAGTGTGCAGGACAAAATGTAGGAAGCCTATCCAAATATAGAAAGGAATGTGACAATTTGCCAAGGCATAGAAAAGATGCCTGGTCCATACTGTAAGTTTCACAATGAGAAGGTGGCAAAGCCCTTTTCAATTTACTCTCCATAAGTCTTTTACAAAGAAATAAAACACTATTTCTCAATGTTTCTCATTTTTTAAATTATGACAGGCTAAATAAGTATTCAATTTGCTATCTTTAAATGTTCTTATACATTTACGACCAGTAGTAAAACAGTTCTTAACACTTTAAAAATTTTTTGAAGATTATGAAACAATCATAATTTTCCTTGTTGCTTCTTAAAATTGCTTCACAGTTTCAACCTGCACAATCATTTCTTCAGTCCCACACTTTCGTGCAAAGCAAAGACTTTACAATGCTGTGATGTTGTAAAGAAAATTCCCGTTGTCCTACTCTGAATCATTTGACAAATGCAACTGAACCCACCACGATGGAGTTGTGTAATACCAAGGTTACATGAATCTTTCTCTCACATAGTTTGCAGTTGAGGAAGAGGGATGGCAAGTCAACCAACATAATGGTTAAGGCTGACATTGATTGATAGCTTTCTGTGTGCTGGGCACTGTGCTGGTCCTTTTGTTACAGTGCATTGCCTCCAAGGTGGAGCTTTAGGAGGGGGATGATAATGAAAACTTCGGAGACCATGGGGACTTCATCCTTTAGAGCTTGGGTCCTCGTGCCTGTGTGTGAAGAAAGGCCCAGCCAGGAAGGCAGCGTCCCTCTTTTCTGCCCACACCTACAGGCTCCCAAGGCAGGGCCAAGGTGGATGTGAGGCCTGAGACGGGAACTCAACACAGCAGTCCCCTGTCATAAGGACAAGACTGGAAGTTGGCCAAGGTTTGCCAGCATATCATCGCATAAGATGCAAATGCCCGGGGATTCTTCTAACGTGGTGTTAGGCAGATGTACTTCATATCTTCTCCCTGTTTATCTAATTTCATGAAGGCACATTTCAGGAGAGTAAGCTGCCGCAAAGGGTATACATTGTGCCTTGGAAAACTCCCGGGCATGAAAACTATAAACCAGCCATCCAAATTACCTTCACATTTAGGAAATCATTACTGTTGATACGATGTGTCTTTGTTGGATCGTTGTATCTTGGCAGTCTCTTCGAGCCTGTGCTTTTTAGCCTTCTCTCCACCTGTACTTTTAGGCATTGCTTACTTTTTTATAGGCAAAAAGATTACATATGTGCACATGTGTGTGGCTACATGTGGGTAAATATGTATGTATCGGTAGGGGTACTGTATTAGTAGCTGGGGCTGCCATAATAAAATACCACAGATGCGGCAGCTTACACAACGGAGCTTTATTCCCTCGCAGTGCTGGGGGCTGGAAGCCCCACATCCAGGTGTGGGCGGGATTGGTTTCTCCTGAGGCCTCCCTCCTGGGCTTGCAGATGGTGTCCTCTCCCTGTGTCCTCACACCGTCTTCCCTCTGTGGGTGTCTGTGTCCTCATCTCCTCTTCCTATAAGGACTCCTGACATATTGGATTAGAGCCCATTCTAATGCCTTCGTTTTACCTTAATTATCTTTTTAAAGGCCTCATCTCCAAATACAGTCCCAGTCTGAGGTATGAGGAGGTTAGGGCTTCAAATATGAATTTTGAGGGACACATTTCAGATTATAACAGATACATACATATGTATATCCTATAAATGAAAATGTCAGGACGGATTTTAGAGATACAAGTTTTTACTTAATTATGATCCCCCAGCGATCTCATCTCCTCTTAGTCTCAATTTTTCTTGTCTAAGAGAGGGTGCTCCTACCCACATCTTCAGTCCAAATCCCTCTCCTGAAGGTCGGACCCGCATTTGCAGTGACGGTGACTGGACATTTTCTCCCAGGTGTTCGTCAACACTTTCAGCCCTACAGGTCTGAAACAAAACTTACCCACCTCCAGTGAAGCTCGTCCTCCTGGCCTTTCTGCTTCCTTTTTAAAGTCCATCCCCCTCCAGGCCTCCCATTACCGGCTGGGAGCCCCGCCCCTTCCTGGGCCTCCTCCTCCGGGGCTTTCAGCTCCTGGCTGGGAGCCCCGCCCCCTCCAGTCCGCCTTTCCAGGCTGAGAGCCCCGCCCATTCCAGGCCTCATCTCCTGGCTGGAAGCCCCGCCCACTCCAGTCCTCACCCTCCAGGCTGAGAGCCCCGCCCATTCCAGGCCTCATCTCCTGGCTGGAAGCCCCGCCCACTCCAGTCCTCACCCTCCTGGCTGGGAGCCCCGCCCACTCCAGGCCTCACCCTCCAGGCTGGAAGACCCGCCCCTCCCGGGCCTCCGGATCCTGGCTGGGAGCCATCTCTGCCTCCTGCCGCTTCCTGCACTCCTGATCAGGTCAGTGGCCAGTCACAGACCTCTGAAATGTCCTTCCTGACTGTTAGCTCCACAGCATTCCTACAGCTCCCGCCGCAGTTCCGCCCTCCGGAGGGTTCCAACAGCAGCCCAGTGCGCCTCCCCAGCCCCAGGCTCCCTCCACTCCAGTGAGCCTGCACCTGGCGCTCCCTGGCACACATATTTTCCATTGCTCTTCACTGCCAATTAAATGCAAATTTCTCATCGTGGGGTTCCAAGTTCTCTGTATTTGGTCCTCTTATCCTGACAGCTCTACCCTCCCCAGAGCACTACAATCTGGCCAAGAGCCTCACCAGCCTATTCCCCCGAACCATTGTTTTATTTATTTTAGATTCAGGGGTATTTGTATGCAGGTTTGTTACATAAGTATATTGCGTTATGATAAGGTTTGTGCTTCTGATGATGATCCAGTCGCCCAACATAGTACCGGATAGTTAGGTTTTCTTCCATTGCCCCCCTCTCCCTCCTTCCTTTTGGGGTCCCTGGTGTCTGTTATTCCCATGTTTATGTCCTTATGTACCCAGTGTTTAGATCCCACTTATAAGTGAGAGCATGTGGCATTTGGTTTTCTGTTTCTGCATTAGTTTGCTTAGAATAACGACTGCCAGCTGCATCCATGTTGCTGCAAAGGACATGATTTCCTTGTTTTTTATGACTGCACAGTATTCCATGGCCAAAAAAATGTGGTATAAAAATATGTACCACATTTTTTTAATCCAGTCCACAGTCGATGGGCACCTGGGTTGATCACATGTCTTCACTATTGTGAACAGTGCTGCAATGAACATACGTGTGCAGGTGTCTTTTTGGTAGGACTATTTATATTCCTTTGGGTATATACCTAGTAATGGGATTGCTTGGTCTAATATTCATTCTATTTTAGATCTTTAAGAAATCTGCAAACTGCTTTCCACAGGGGCTGCATTAATTTGCATTCTCACCAAAGTGTGTAAGTATTCCCTTTCTCCTCAACCTCTCCAGCATCTGTTATTTTTTGACTTTTTCATAATAGCCATTCTGACTGGTGTGAAATAGTACTTTATTGAAACCACTGCTTTAGAAAGTGAAAGTCCTTTTCAGGTTTGTTTTTCATTCACTGGCAGAGGTTGCTGGCCCAGCAGGGGTTGTGCAAACTCTGTCTTTGTTCCCCTGTATTTGCCTTCCTCTCCCTTTTTCCTTCCTTTCCCTTTCTCAATACACACACACACACACACACAACATGTACAGAAGGGCTCTTATCTGAAATAATCAATAAATATCAAGGACGTGAAGATGTCATGCAAGGAGCAAAGGGGGAAAGTAAACATAAGGAAAATGTACAAAACCTAATTTTTCACCATGTAACCAGCATGGGCTTTAAAGTCTACACAAGACAGACTACCACAAGCCTCTGCCCCTGCAGAAACTGGATAAATCCTGGAGAATGACTATAATCTCCATGACACAAATTCTTCCTCAGAAGGAAGGATCAAGGCTTCTGAATAAAAGGGCTAGGAAAAGAAATTTTCCTGAGGCTGCCAAAGGCAAGTAGGATTCTTTTTCAAGGTCAACAGGCATTAGAAACAGAAGACATACACAGTATGCCAGAAAATTACAAGATTTCCCTCTCCTTGACACCAAAGAGTTAAATATAGAAATGTGCATGTGGACAGTTATTAGGAGAAAGGAGAAAGGGAAGAGAAGGTGGCCCATTTCCTCCCTTGGCCAAAAAGAAAACAAACAACTTAAATAAAACAATAAGATGCTATCATCATGAAACACTGTGCATGTGTTGGCCAGTAGGCTATTAATACACAGCACAGCCTGGAGCTTTGCTGAACATGGAAATGCTTCCAGCCTTTTTGCAACACTGCCTGTATGAACACTGCTAAAAATATTGGTGGGATATATATGTGTGCTTGTGTGTGCATGTGTGCTTGTGCATGCATGTGTGTGCATGCATGAGGATGTATGTGTTGCATGTGTTTGTGAGCACGTCTCAGTAGATCCCAACACAGACTGCTTTGAGGAGAATTCATTTTCATTCCATCCAGAGTTGCTCACAAGTCTGATTAGCTGGGATAGTAAAAGAGAAAGGAGCAGACAGAAATCTATCCCCCTTTTCTCTTTATCTTTGAGACTCTTGGAGAAGCACATGCCTTCACTCTCACCCCACAGAACAACACACCCTTCAGAACCCACTCCCACAACCACACCCACTCCATTCTACACAGGCACATCCAACTGTCCTCCTGTCTGTCTTCACCATGGTGACCAGAGCCTCCACCCTCTACTTCCCTAAAGCAAAAATTGGCAAAGAACCCAAGGAAATGAATGTCTTTCCAGTGAACCAAAGTTTTGTTATGCACTGTTTGGATAACAGTGTCCTAACAGAATACCTGGAAGTTACAGAATATACTCATTAAACCTAGCTGCCGGTTAGTAAGCCCTTGAAATGCCTCAGGGCTCCCATCAAAGAGTTTCTGGAGACAGAGGGCTAGGCCAGTATCTAGGTCCTGTTTGAGAATAAGATTTCATTTCAGAGACCACTTGCTACACTGTATTGAGAATGTTTCAGGGGCTGAATCAGTCCCTCTGGGGGAAAAATGATCTCTGAATGTGTGTCCTGGGTGTGGAAAGGGGAGTGGCTCAGATTGGACATCTTCAATGTAGAGTGTACTCATGCATTGTCTCAGGAATCCTCATGGCTTCCGTACAGCAAGAATCAATCCACATTTCACCCTTTCATAAGGACTCCAGTCATACTGGAGTGGGATCCACCCTAATGACCTCATCTCCATGTGGTTAAAACTCTTTTTCCAAATAAGGCCACATTCTGAGGTTTGGGGGTTTGGACTGCAACAGATCTTTTGGAGATCTTTTTGGAAGGGGCACAATTCAACCCACAAAAGTAGTCCTTACCCAAAGGGACCTATGGATGTTTACTCAGGTGGCTAATCACTGAGGAAAGGGGAAGTCTCAGACAGTCCAAGGACTACTGGACACAGGTCTGAGTTGACATGGACACTTGGGTACCCACAGTGTCATCACAGTCCCCTGTTAGAGTGGGGCCCCCCACGGACAGAGACTAAGTGGAGCCCTAGCTAATGTCCAGCTCCTAATGGTCCTGCGGAGTCCACTAACATGCTGTGGGCATTGCCCTGTTTCCTGAGTGCACAGATGGAACTGATCTACTTGATAGTTGGATTAGCCTTAACATTGGGTCTCTGGCCCATGGGCTATGACCTGTCATAGTGGAGGGCACCAAATGGAAACTCTGAAAATACCACTGTCAGCTGAGGTTGTCAATCAAAAATAATATTGCATTCTGAAGTGGATGGCAGAAATTTGTATCACCATTAAAATCCTCAAGGGTACAAGGCAGTGCTATTAACCATATCTCTGTTTAATTCACCAGCTTAGCCCCTGCAGAAACTGGATAAACCCTGGAGAATGACTGTAGTCTACACCAGGATTAAACAAATAGTAACCCTGATTGCAGGTGCTGTACTAGACATAGTATCTTTGGTAGAACCAATTAGTGAGGCTTTCGGTACAACCATTGACATGGGAGATGCATTCTTTTCCATTCCAATCAAGAAAGAGGATCAGAAATGGTTTGTATTTAGGTAGGATAGAAAACAATATTAAACTGAAGTTTTGCCTCAGGGCTAAATGAACTCTACTGCCTTCTGTCCTAAAATAGCTTGAGGATATGTGGACCACCTGAATGTCCCACAGAACATCATGACACCTTGGTGATGGGGCAGAACCAACAATAGATGGCTATCTCACTAGAGGTCTTGGTAAGATACATGCACTAGAGAGGATGGGAAATAAACCCTATAAAGATTGAGAGATATACATGTCAATAAAGTCCTTACGGATCCAATGCTCAGGGTCATTCCTGAATATCTCCTCTAAATTCAAATAAAACCACTGCATCTTGCATTCCCTACCACAAAGAAGGAAGCACAGTGCATGGTGTGCCTCATTTGCTTCTGATGGCAACACATTTCATACCTAGGAATGCTGCTTCAGCCCCTATACTGGATGACACAAAAGGGTGCTAACTTTGAGTGGAGCCTAAACTAGGAAAGAGCTCTGCAACAGGTCCGAACTGGAGTGCAAGCACACCTGCCACTGGAGCCGTGTTATCTCACGGACCTCATGAGGTTGTAGGTGTCAGCAGTGGGACAAGATGCATCATAGGGTGGAAATTGTATATCTAAGATCAAACCTAGGCAGGACTGGAGGATACGCATGAGTAATCCACATAAGCTGGTAGCCCAGACCCCCATGTCACCCACCGCGGCTATACCAGCGCTCCTGCCTCAGCTCATATTTATGGCCATATTGGAGTGCTGACACACTGATCTGGGGTTACTCACTCACATCAGGCACTGGATGAGTACAGTGTCCTGGGCTAAAGTTGATCTATCCCAGACCCTCACCTTCAGCAGCATCAGTGGCCCTCACAGCAGCTCTCCCTCCTCTGTATTCCTACTTAGTGGCAGCTGTGGCCTGCAGCACCCAGAAACAGTGAGGTAGAGGGAATGGCAAGCATCCATTACCCTGTGCTCCATCAATGGCACTGTCACCCCCTCTGTAGGCTCTGTGCCATGTGTCAGGTAGTACCCAGGGCTTGTGAGACATCACTCCAAGTTTCCAACCAGGTATGCTCTTGATTCCAGTGGATGTGATGACGTTGTGCTCTCTCAGGGCTTAGGCTATGCCAGAGGAGGGATGAACATTCCTTGCTGAATGAGATCCCTCTAGCTGTTCCACCCAGGGCCTCTGGCCTGTCCTTTCCTTTGGTGATGGAGTGTAGAAGGCAGGCGTGGAGTTAACACAGAAAGATTTAACTTTCTGTGTTAGGCAGGCATGGAGTTAACCCTCTGAAAACACAGGATGCCAGTCTAAAGAGTGAAGAGAAAATGTGGTTGGAAGATGTGTTCTTCTACCTTTACATCATAAATTTCAGAACAGTGCATTTCATGACCAGAAGATGAATTACTGTTCACATTTTTCTGCATGCTCTGGATAAGATTTGCAATTGTGATCATTGCCAATGGAAGCACAGTAACAGCTTTCAGAGGGTCAGTGGAAGCCAGTATGGAAGATATACGCTGGACAAGGCAGCCTCTTGAGTGATGATGTAACTACCATTAAACACATGGTATCAGGGAACTACAGAGGTATGATCTGTGTTGCTTCAATACAAAAAAGTGAAGAAGAGCCACGGCACTGCCAGTAATAATGACGTTCCATGAGAGATATACAAGTAGCCAGAACTTTTGCCACTAAGAAGAAACTTCACACTGAAAGGACAATAGATAAATATGTAAATGCATCTTGTCTACCTATCACTCTAAATCAATTGATCAGTGTATACATCACCATGCCTCATGAATTTTGTCATAAATTTTTAATCAAATTGTTTATGCAGAGGATTCACGAAAATGAGAGAGATAATCTGCCCTGGATTAATCAATGACATTTACCAAGCTCTAATAAGAACAAGAATTGTGCTAGATACCATGGATACAATAAAGAACAATGCACAAATGGACTAAATGTAACTCACTGTCTAAACTGGTAGCAATGCATATAGACAGACGCAGGGTGTCCTGAGCAGGGACATAGGAAGGGGTGATGGAATGA
The DNA here is from genome assembly GCF_000001405.40 of Homo sapiens. Classification (NCBI taxonomy): domain Eukaryota; kingdom Metazoa; phylum Chordata; class Mammalia; order Primates; family Hominidae; genus Homo; species Homo sapiens. The sequence goes on from NC_000006.12 coordinate 6,692,992, forward strand.
ACACCCAGCGATGGTTCCGTACTGATGTTCCCAGTTGAAGTCATCAAAAAGGTGACCACTCCACAGGAACTCCATTTGAGGGCCTTGTTCAATGGGACTTTTCAGCCATCCTCCCAATCCAAGTATTTTCTTCACCTATTAAACTTGTCTTTGATTAGCTCTCCATTGGTCAGAGATTCTGTGAGATACCTATGAAAAGATGGAAGTGACACTTACATATGCCTATCCCAACAGCCTAGCTGGAAATCACCAAAATGAGGCAAGAGAACAGGGTTTTTAGTGAACCTTTTTCCTGTGTGCCTGTTCTAGTTGAAGAATCTGGGTTTAATAGACCTAGAATTCTTTATAAAAGAATTCTTGCCAGGCCAGGCGTGGTGGCTTACGCCTGTAATCCCAGCACTTCAGGAGGCCAAGGCAGGTGTATCATGAGGTCAAGAGTTTGAGACTAGCCTGACCAACATGATGAAACCCCGTCTCTGCTAAAAATACAAAAATTAGCTGGACGTGGAGGCACATGCTTGTAATCCCAGCTACTCAGGAGGCTGAGGCAGGAGAATCATTTGAACCTGGGAGGCGGAGGTTGCAGTGGGCCGAGATCGCACCATTGCACTCCAGCCTGGGCGACAGAGTGAGACTTTGTCTGAAAAAAATAAAATAAAAAAATAAAGAATTCTTGCAACCACACCTCACAGATCACAGTTCCAGAACTGCTGCAGAAGAAGGTCTTTCTGAAGAAGGTACAAAGGGGAAAGATAAAGGTGCTGGGTTTTATCTCTGGTCCTGGTCAGAATCAACTCAGTCTTTACCAACAGGGATTGTCCCATCTGTCATCCTTGGTTACACAAGCCCCATCAGGCAGAATGGGGGAAGGACTGAGCTCTGGGCCTGGTGAGCACCACTGAGCGCCCCACTGCTACTTCAGGAATCGCCTATCAGGCTGGTGGGTGGGGTAGGAGTGAAAATAATCAGCACCAGTTTTGGAGTCCAGTCTAGAAGTGGCATTTGACCAGACCCCCCCATAGCTCTTGAGGGTCTTTTCTGAGGACCTTTACTGCAGTCTATGCAAAAAACCCACTCATAGTCCTCAGTAACTTCCAGTCCTCCAAAGCCATACAGTGTGGTCATTTTACTCATCCTCTAGGCTTTCTTTAGTTATTCATGCAAAGATAGGCCTGGCCTTGGGTGTCTGTAGCGAGGCCACAAGGCCTTGGATCAGAACAGCAACGTCAGGGAAAACAAAATCCAAGGGGCTGCCCAGTCCAAGGGCAAACTGGGAGTCTAGTCCCCATCTTGTAACCACGATCTCTACCTTGCGATGCTGCAGGGGCACCTCTTCTGCCTTTCACCTAGGCTCCTGGCAAAGGCCTTGCAAAGCATTATTCAGGGCACTGTGTGAGGCCAGAGAAGGAACTGAGGAAGACCACACCCATACACAGAGATGAAGAGTGTGGAGTGACAGGAAGGCGGGGCTTGAGCTGGTGGCAAAACGGGAAAAGTTCCCTTATCCCCGTGGCAGGGCTTGCGATGGAGGTGTGGCTGGCTTCTTCTGTGCCCCGCTGCTCAAACCTGTAGGGGGAGCATGCAGATGGGCAGGTGGTGGGGCTCCAACCCCACAGCAATGTCTAAGGGTGAATGTTTACAGCTCCTGAGGTCCCAATGGGCCTGTGTTACAGGATGCTGTTTCAGTTGAGCCATCCCTAGTCAGCTGTTAGACCTCCTGCCTTATTCCAAGGACAGAGGCTTTCTGTATCCTGAGGTTTCTTGCCTCCGTGCACCAAAAGAATCAGATCACACATGGGCTTGGAGAATGAGTGCAAGGTTTTATTGAGTGGAAGTAGCTCTCAGATGGGGGAGCCAGAAGGGAGACGGAGTGGGGAGGTGGTTTTCCCCTCTGAAGTCGGACCGCTCCGTGGCCAGGCTGTCCTCCAGCTGCACTGAGTGGTTCTGCCTGTCGATGGCCTGCCAGCCTGCCGTGGGCCACTATCAGTCTGCTCTTACACCGGTGTGTTCCTCTTGACGTCCAGAGGCTTGTGTGCGTGCCTGCTAAGCTCTCAGGTTTTTTTACAGGCACAGAATGAGGGTGTGGTAGGCCAGGGTAGTCTTGGGAAATCCAACATTTAAGCACGAAAACAGAAATGCCTGTCCTCACCTAGGTCTGTGGGCACAGGCCCGGGGGTGGAGCCCTAGCCAGGGACCACACCCTTCCCTTCCCAGCACTTCCCCGCCCCCCTTCCGTATCAGTAGCTTGAGGGAGTTACTTCTCAGGGAGATGTTTTGGTTTTTAGGGAGAAGACAAAACCTCCAATTTGAAAAACAAAGCGAGTCCTTTGGTGAGGGAAACACTGGACACACAGAGGGCGGGCTGGAAGGGCAGGTGCTGGGAAGACAGCAAGGAGTGCAGACCCACTGGGGAGGCAGCCTGGGAAGATGTTTATTTTCTGAGAGACGAGGAAAGACTGGGAAACGGAGAAATTTTTAGGGTGGAGGGTGGGAAACTTGGGAAACAGCAGATGGTCTTAATCTTCTGAGAAAGGAGGCAGTGCCAAGCCTGGCTGGGGCGACAGTGGGAGTGTGGGCTGAGGGATGGTGGGGACATCCTCTGCTAGCTGCTGAAGGTCTAGGATGGGCACTGAGGCGAGCCTCAGCGGTGCTCCCCGGGCTTGCCTCCCAGGAGGGACCCTGCAGGAAGGTGTCCAGATGCAGAGCCCCAACTCCTCCCCCAGAGACTTGGATTCAGTAGAACTGGGATAGGGTCCAAAATCTGTATCATTAGGACACTCTCAGAGTATACTTGTCATCAGGCAAAGCCTGGAGAAATAGCAAAAAGAACCGTTAGCCCCAGGGAGAGCCCACTGGAGGCTGGAAACGGGAAGTATTGGGGAATCACTTAGTATCCTTTATCACAGACTCTGCTGCCCAGAACCCTGGGGGAGAAAGCTGACAGGGGAAGGAGTGTGTAGCCACGTGGGATGTACCCAGGAGGGGAAGGTATCTCCAGGAGGGTAGAGTCCATCCAGGAGGGTGAGGTCTAGTTGGGGGGATGGGGTCTACCCAGAGGGGTGAGGTCTGGCTGGAGGGGGGATGGGGACAGTCCAGGAGGGAGAAGTCTAGCTGGGATGATGGGGTCTGTCCAGAGGATCAGGTCTAGCTGGGTAGAAGGGGTCTACCCAGGAGAGTTCTGGTTGGGGAGATGCATCTACCCAAGAGGGTGAGGTCTAGCTGGGGGGATGGGATCTGTCCAGGAGGATGAAGTCTAGCTAGGGGGATGGGGTTTACTCAGGAGGGTGAGTTCTGGTTGGGGAGATGGGTCTACCCAGAGGATGAGGTCTAGCTGGGGGGAGAGGGTCTGTCCAGGAGGGTAAGGTCTCTCCATAGGGTGCTTTGGGAGGTCTGGGGCTTGGGGTTCCTGTGATCACAGCCCAAATATATGACTTGGACCCACACTTGGCAGAGACCAAGGTGAAGACAAGACAGGACTGATGGACTCTGAGGAAAGAGCGTGGCGGGAGCAGGGTCAAGAGCGAGAGGCCAGAGTGCAAGGAAGTGGGAGGGTCTGAGGTGGGATCCCAGAGTGGGAGCTGGGGAGCTGGAGTGCTGGAAATGCTTCTCATGCTGGAGAGGCCAATCCTAGGGCTTGGTTAGACTAAGTGCGTTTAACTGGGGCAGCAGTTTTACACATGTATTTCAGGAGGAGATGATTTTATCATAAACACATTCCACTGATTCATGTGAAATCATTAAAAAAATTAAGGTCAAGGTTTTTTTCTCCTGGCTGCTTTAGGCTACATGCCCAGGACTCCTGTCCCTCTGTGGTGAGGGGATTTGGGTGGAAGAGTTTGAGAAGCTCTGCTGTGGAATCCTCTCCTTTTTAAATAAAGAGGGACACTCCAAGCCTGGCATTGAAAGGCACACCTCTCGGTGGAAGCAGTTGGCCAGGTTTTGATCCCTTAAGGATTGGAACCTTATGAAATTGCCAAGATTGGACCATGTTTGACTTGTGTAAATAGCTTCTTCCTGTGATTCAGTCTGAATTTTAGACTCCAGGTCTCATCGCTGCCTCCACCATGTGGCCTCAAGGGGGCGCCGCTCCGCCTCCTAAATCCCCAAGGACAAAGCCCACTTTCTTGGCTTCTGGAAGCAGCGCGAGGGGTCATTGGTGGAAAGAAGACTGCTGTATTTAAAAAAGGAAGCAAGCAGAGAGGAACATGAATTCAATTAGAACAGTTCCTTGTCCCCTAAAATATGGTCCCCAGACCAGCAGCATCAGCACCCCCTGGGAGTTTGTAGAATTCCTGGACACTAACCCAGATCTGCTGAACCAGAATCCACAGTTTAGCAGGACTGCCCAGGCTCTCCTACGTATGTGCGCATAGCAGAAGCACCAGTCTAGCCAGCCAAGAGTCTGCTTATTTGTCACCTGCCTTTCCAGCCCCAAGCAGTCTGGGCCCCCCTATCACTTCCCCTGGGGACACATTATTAGACCCTCCATTCTTCAAAATCAACATAAGGTGTGGCTCCCACAGGAACATGTTCCTGTCTAAAGAGCCTCCCCTTCTTTCAGAAAGTATATTCGTTATCTTTGCTGTGTAATAAATGACCCTAAAACAGAGGTTTAAAACAATAAACATTTATTTTTGCCATATGCTGTTGGTTAGAAGCAAGTCACTAATCCAGCCCAGGCTTCAAGGGAAAGGGATCACACCAGGGCCTGAATACCAGGAAGCAGGGATCACTGGGGATCATATTCCAGGCAGCCTACTGCAGGGGATAATCTCCACTCTAAGGGGCAGGCCTCAACAGGGCAGCCACATCAGAATACAAGAAAACCTCCAGAGTCATGTGGTAAGGACGACATGCATTCAGCAACAGGATGCTTGAATAAGCCTTTCAACTGTGGCTTGCAGAATGGCCACATTAGTATCAGTTGGGAAACATTTAAAAAATACCAATGCCCAGGCGCTACGCAAGACCAGTTAGATCACAATCTTCAGGGCATGGGTTTTTTCTAATTTTTAAATTCCCCAGATAATTCTATTGCACAACTGAGGTTAAGAACTATGGCTTCAGGCCAGGTGCGGTGGCTCACACCTTTAATCCCAGCACTTTGGGAGGCTGAGGCAGGCAGATCACCTGAGGTAAGGAGTTTGAGACCAGCCTGGCCAACATGGTGAAACCCCATCTCTACTAAAAATGCCAACAAATTTAGCTGGGCATGGTGGCGCGCCTGTAATCCCAGCTACTTGGGAGGCTGAGGCAAGAATCACTTGAACCCGTGAGGCGGAGCTTGCAGTGAGCTAAGACTGTGCCACTGCACTCCAGCCTGGGCAACAGGTTAAGACTCCGTCTCCAAAAAAAAAAAAAAAAAAAAAAAGACACAGAACTATGGCTTCATATGAAAATTTTCAAATGCTACAGTGAAGTAGTGGTAAAGATTACTAGTGCAAAAGATGATGTGAGGCTCAGCAGCTTGGACTTCTGCTGGGGAATCTGTGGATTGGAAAAGTGGGCCTTAAAGAGTGTTGGAACCATCTCGGAGGTGAGCCAATAAGGCTGACAAGAGATTTATGACTTTCTATGATTGCCTATCTTAGCAAAAGTCCCATCAAGTCATGATGCTGGGGAAAATACATCCAAGAGTTAGGAATACAGAAAGAAAGGAAGGTGGTGGGAGGAAGGAAGGAAGGAAACCTATATGAAGCCAATCTGAAAAGGCTTCATGATGTATGATTTCAACTACATGACATTCCGAAGAAGGCAAAGCTATCGAGGCAGTAAAAAGGTCAGTTGTTGCCAGGAGTTTAGAGTGAAAGAAGGGACAAACAGGTGGAGCACAGAGTAGTTTTAGGGCAGTGAGACTACTCTGTATGATCCTGCAGTGGTGGATAATGTCATTATACAGTTGTTCAAGCCCATGGAATGTACACCACACCAAGAGTGAAACCTAATGTGAACTATGGAGTTTGGGTGATGATGATGTGTCAGTACAGGGTTGTTGATTACAACAAAGGTACCATTTGAGTGGGGACATTGCTAATGGTAGAGGCTGTGCATGCATGGGAGCAGGGGGCATATGACATATGCCAAGTTTCCTCCAAATTTCGCTGTGAACCTAAAAGTGTTCTTAAAAAATAGTCTTTTTTAAGAGACAGGGTCTTGCTCTGTTGCCCAGGCTAGAGTTCAATAGCACAATCACAGCTCACTGTGGCCTCAACCTCCCAGGTTCAAGGGATCCTCCTGCCTCTACCTCCAGAGTAGCTAGGACTATAGGCACACGCCACCATGCCTGGCTAATTTAAAATTTTTTGTACAAACAGGGTCTCACCACGTTGCCCAGGCTGGTCTCAAACTCAAAAGCAATCCTCCCACCTTGGCCTCCCCAAAGTGCTGGGATTACAGGTATGAGCCACTACACTTGGCATTTATTTTAAATAAAATTTTTTAAAAAGAGACAAAAAGAAACCTATCTATTGTTAAAACTTGTCCTCAACTCCAGCTGATGACTACAAAGAAATGGAAACAAAATGAAGACTCAATAAAAGTGCCCATAATCTTCTAGTCTCCAGTCTGTAGAGACACAGAAGGTGAGAACTGGAGAGGCCTTAGAGGTCAGCTCACCAATGCCTTTGTTTTGTGGTTGAGGAAATCGAGACATGAGGTCACTGGGAGGTAATGGCCTTGCTAGGATTAGAACTCACATCTTCAAACCTGAGCCCAGTGCTCTACCTGAAGACTTTCCACATACAGGGCATGACTGTCAATGGGGCATGTTGGACTCCTTCCTGCACACCAGCGCGTGAGAATGAGGCATACTGAAGAGTTAGTCAAGGGAGAGAACATGCACCCTCTTATGGGAACACCATGGCCTTTCACATAAATGTTTCACTGAGGGCTGGTTCACAGGAGGTTGGTGGTACATGACCAGTACTGCAACAGTTAATTTACTCTGTCTCATGGGAACAAGTCAATAGGTTGATCGTAGTCGCTGAGTCTAACATGCTCCCAGCTTGAGCTGCACCCACTCTGTAAACAGCCCCTAATGGTAGCAGCTTTACCCACAACAATAAAACGGCTCCATCTTCAGGCAAGTCCAACCTTTACCTCTCCTCCCTGCCCCTCGCCTGCCTGATTTTAGACACTGTTCTCATTCCCAGGGACCGGGTTGCTCCCAACTTGTTGCCATAGCCACAGGCCTCACCCAAAGCATACCAACGCTGTAATGCTCACAGATCTTGGCAGACATCCAGGCAGATGCAGAGCAGTTGGGGTGAATAACGTTCTCCTCTGAAAGCTGGGCCAAGGCTGTTTGGTTGCACTCTCTCCGCTGTCGGCTTGAGTCTTATAGAGCTGTCCATTTGGCTGCCTGGCTGTGAATGAGCCATGGTTGTTAATTTCTTTCCCCTGCATCAGCTTCTTGGGAGCCTCTAACACAAAACTTAAACAAAGAGCTAAATCAGGCTGTTCCCAGAGCTCCGGACCCTGGCTGTTTACCAAACACTGAAAACGTTACCAGTTGCCACCAGTCCCAAATCTCTAATCTCTTCTATCTAAAAGTCGTGAGGAATGTTGTCCCGAGAGGTCCAGGCCTGGCCCATCTGTGATGCTCTTGGGTGTCCGTTTCAACATCGCAGTCCTGTGAGTTGAAGTATCTTTTCCAGAGAAAGAAATGAAAGACGGGGGTGGGGAGTGGGGTGAAGGAGCACATGGCAAAATAGAGATGGAATCCCTTCAAAAACAAAGAGGAGCCGTCCATGTGCAGCGTGTTCACCCTTGGATGATTTATATTGGCCCAGTGCTCCAGTTCATGGCAATTACAAAGAAGGAGGGAGTGTCAGAAGGAATCTTCCATGAATACCAACAGTACCAGCCAACATCTGTCCCTTGGGGTGGGCAATCTGCTCCAGCCTGTTCAGAATTCTACTTAGAATTCTCAAATGGGACAGTGAACACAGAGGCACTCTGTAGGTTAGAAAACAGTGCATACTGGTAGAATGTTGTTTTCATCAGGCATTCCCTTCGCTCCTCCATTGGCGCTCATGAAGTGAGTTAAGTCCCTCGGCCCCTGCCCCAGGGTATGTGCCCACATTGCCATAGAACCTGCCTGGTAGGGAGAGGGCTCACAGACCTTCTCCCACATGAGAAGGGATTAGGATGGGGGTGGGCAGGGGCCACTTCTGCTGATGAGAACACAGCAGTTCCAATCTCCCTGGAACTGGCCCCCAAGCCCCCTCTCCCCAGTTGCATTTCTGCATTGATTTCCTGCCCAGAGATACTTCACCCGCAGTTGCCACGTCTTTGGCTAAGGAGTTGCTTTAAAAGAGAATACAAGATTTAGATTTAGCTGCCTGGAAGAGGAAGGTGTTTTATTCTTCTTTAAAGGTAGTCTGGAAAATTACCACTTTAGTGGGGGGAAAATATACTCTTCAATTAATAACATAAAAACGAAGCTGGGTGCAGTGGCTCACACCTGTAGTTCCAGCACTTTGGGAGGCTGAGGTGGGAAGACTGCTTGAGCCCAGGACAAGACCAGCCTGGGCATCATAAGGAGACCTCATCTCTACAAAAAAAACCTTGAATTTTTAAAATAAAACCATCACTACGACTAACTTTTAACAACACACTCTAAGAGCAGGGGAAAAAAAATCCTGGGTACTAATGCTGAAAATGCATATATTCCAAGGAATGGTAGCCATCATATCCCCCGTATGAGACAGAACGATTGAACCAGATCCTACACAGCTTGCCTCAAATCCCTGGGCAAGACTTGCCACAAATCCTGAACTTCCCTTCATGTTGTCTTTCCATAATTCCTTCTCCTCCCAGCACCAACATCAGTCTGATTTCTAATATTTAAACCACCAGAAGCTGGGCAGAGCCCACCCAGGAAGAATTCTAAAATGTCATTAACAAATACAGCCTGAAATGGCTTCAGAAGTTGCTGACACTCTGTTGAGACAGTGTCTTTTGAAAGACAAGGACAGTTGAAAACTTCTTGCACCACTGAAGGCGGCGCCCTCCTGCACGTTAACAGTTTCTCCCTCCACCACACAGTTCGCTATCTCTCCATCGCTGGCATTCATACGGCCTCACCCATCTCCCCGAGGGACAGCTGCTCCCAGAACCACCCTGCAGCTGAGCAGCAAGATGAGCAGAATTTTCCCTGTGAGCAGGAGACAAGGCTAAAGCTGCATGTGTGTCAATCGTGAAAGCCCAAATCAGGAGACAGATTAGGACTCTAAGGGAGCTCCACTTACCGAAGACCATCTCCCCAGGAGAACAGGCACTGAGGGCCGCCCACCCCCACCACGCTCTTTTCTGAACAGATAAAGGGAAACTCACATTTTTTTTTTAAACTGAGTTTTGAGTCTTTGGGAAGCTCGTATGCAGTTGACACCCGCTGACTTCTGGAGACATTTAAAAAAAAATTAAAAGCATATTAGGGGCCGGGCGCGGTGGCTCACGCCTGTAATCCCAGCACTTTGGGAGGCCGAGGCGGGCGGATCACGAGGTCAGGAGATCGAGACCATCCTGGCTAACACAGTGAAACCCCGTCTCTACTAAAAATACAAAAAAAATTAGCCGGGCGTGGTAGCGGGCGCCTGTAGTCCCAGCTACTCGGGAGGCTGAGGCAGGAGAATGGCGTGAACCCGGGAGGCGGAGCTTGCAGTGAGCCGAGATCGCGCCACTGCACTCCAGCCTGGGCGACAGAGCGAGACTCCGTCTCAAAAAAAAAAAAAAAAAAAAAAAAAAAGCATATTAGGATGTGATGTGGCACAGCAGATTTGGAGTTCAAAGGGTGTCAGTTCAGATGTGGGTCTGCCACTGATGAGCCAGCTGCATAACCCTGAGAGCCTTCAGCTCTGGAGCACGTGATAGCTTCCCCTGCAGGCTTGTGAGGCTTAAAGAGTACCCATGACAGGCAGGGCAGCATCTGCTATGCAGGAGGTGCTCCACACACCTGCTCTGAATGAGTGAATGTATTTTCCATGCCTGTGACACAGTAGTCACTCAGTAAGTGTAGATTTTGTCCCTTTCTTTTCCCAGATGAGCAGCCACCATAGAGAGTTGGTTTCTGTAGTTCAATCTCTCCATCAAGCCAAAAACATAGCTTCTTAGAGGGACCAGGCCATCTCTGCAAGGTATCGAGGGGGCATCTGCAAAGAGTTTCCATCCTGGCTCCTGTCACTAGCTATGTGTGCAGCTCTGCACGCAGTGGTCTAGTCCCTCTTCCCTCATTCCAAGCCTCATTTGCTCACAGTGAAAATGAAAGAGCTGGACTAGATTCATAGCTGTCGACCATGGTCTATCATCCAAGCCCTTTGTTTGTAAGAAATCTGATACAGCCCCATTAAATAAAATATTTCAAGAAAAGGGGCCAGTGCTTAGGCCTAAGTCAGCTCAGCTCTCCAGCCCACCTGCTCTTAGAGGCTGACCAGAAGGCACACCCCGACCCCCACACACAGGAGCCCCTAGGGTTCCTTGGAGCACAGTTAGAGAACCATAAGACCAGGTTGTCTTTAAATCTCCTTCCAGACCTGACACTCCACGATTCTAAGTGTTTACAGAGTAACTGCAGCACATTATTGAACCTGACCAAATTAACTCAAGCCTGATGTGTAACACCTATCAGAAAGAATACAGCCAGGGTCTCTCCTTCGTCCCCAGCTCCTCAGCCCTGCTGCCTGGGCAAAAGTTACTCAGCATGAAGTCCTTTTTGACTGGTTTCAGCTTGAAACCCTACAGTATCAGGGACAAGAGGAAGTAATATAAAAAAATACTTGCAATCTTATCCTGAAGACAGTGTCCCGTGAACATAAAGCAATTAAAGGAGGCTGTAGAAATAAGACCTGCAATAAATTAGTATGAACAATAGGTGTGGAAAGTGGGGAAAGGGCATCGGGCAGGAAACGCCTAATCCCAGGTTGGCATGACCTTGGGCAAGGTGCCAGTGTCTCAATGACCTTGATGGTAGAGCTGAACCAGGTCACCTCTGTGAGAATTATCTAACCATAAACTTCTGTGACTCTAAGTATTGCATGGCCAGGCACGGTGGCTCATGCCTGTAATCCCAACACTTTGGGAGGCTGAGGCAGGCAGATCACCTGAGGTCAGGAGTTCCAGACCAGCCTGACCAACGTGGTGAAACCCCTTCTCCACTGAAAATACAAAAATTAGCCGGGCACCTTAGTGTGTGACTGTAATCTCAGCTACTCGGGAGGCTGAGGCAGGAAAATCGCTTGAATCTAGAAGGCAAAGGTTGTAGTGAGCCGAGATCACGCCACTGCACTTTAGTCTGTGACAGAGTAAGTAAGACTCTGTCTCCCAAAAAAAAAAAAAAAAAAAAAAAAGACTTGTAAGTACTTCAGAATGTTTATAATGATGTTGTCAAATTGTCAAAATTGGCATATTCCAGCTACTTAAGTTTGTTACTCCTAGATATTCCTCAACTGTAACATCAGTACCTATCTTAGGCCATCGGCAGGGAGTGAGCTGACTGCTCCCCAGGGTCTCAGGTAAGGAACAGATAATGGTTTTCAGTTTGTAAGCTCAGCATGAGCACTATCTCCCAGAGGCCTCTGGGCATAAATGAGCACTTATCAAATCCACGAGAGGCAAACAGCCATCTGCAGGCTGGCAGAACTGTCTGCAAGGATTTGCTTGACACAGATCTCTGGCTGGGCTCATGGTATCAGAGGTCCCCAGGTTTATTGTTTTTAACGATCATTTTTTTCACCACCTAAACAGAAAGACCCTGTAGTTGAAAGCAAGAGGAAGCAACAGAGAGAGGCAGTGAGAATCAAATGGCTCAGTTAAGCCTCGGTGTGGCTGGGCTAACGCTTTTTCAGGTCACTCTTACAAGGTAATCCATTCGCCTGAAGAGGCATGCAGCATCTTGAAGGAAGGGAACCGTTGTGGCTAGGTGATTGGGTGGAATGGCATTCCCTCTGGAATCTGATTGCAGAGCCTGATTTCCAGCTTGGTCCCCTGGTCTTCTTTAGCTTTTGACTTCCAAAGTCTTATTAGAACTAGCTAGGTGGCCCCTAGATTTATGTATCCACTTTTGTCAAAAGCAGGCTACGGAGATGGAGCCTAGTAAGGAAAATAAAGGTAAAGTATTATGGCATTCACTCATTAGGGACAAGATGTCCTCTGGTGTACGTCACAAAGCTTTCACCTGCAAGTGACACTCAGCTCAAACCACCTTTAAAAACAAGGATATTCTAATCTCAGATAAGAAGTCCAAGCAAGTTCCAAGGAGATTAAAACCAGTGGTTCAGTGTTGTTGTCAGGAACATAAATTCCTTCAAGCTCTGGGCTCTACCATCCTCAGAACATTGGTTTTGGCCTTAGGCAGCTCATCCCATGTTTCAAGATCCCTCAGCCCTCCTGGTTTCATAACCACATCGGCAGAGACCACTTCATGGTGACCAACCTGTCATGCTGCACAAGGCCTTGTGCTTAGAAGGACCCACACTTGGCTTAGTGCTCTACCATCACCGTCTTAACATCCTTAGTCTTATCTGTGAACTTGTGTTTTACGAGTGAAATCCTATGGGGACAGTGGAGATGCATGTGAGCAGAGGAGATGTACGCAGTATATATGTCCTCCTTTCCTGCTGTCCTATGTGCAGGTCATGTTGGGGATCCCCATAAGCACAGAATTCCAGGGACCCACGAAGCATGGGAGTCAGTGAGACAGACTCAAAGCCAGCACATTAAGCCCACAACCAAGTAAGTGGCAGCACTGACAGCCCTAAGAGGCCATGCTTTTTGTCCAAATCAGAACTTGCTCTGAACACAAAGAAAATAGAGCTCTAAGAAAACACAGAAGATCAAGCAACCCTACTCTATTCTTTTGAACACGTGTTACTTCCTCGTATTAGACAACTACTTCCACTGAAAATGATGACATAGGTTGGGTATGGTGGCTCATGCTTATAATCCCAGCACTTTGGGAGGCTAAGGTGGGCAGATCACCTAACGTCAGGAGTTCGAGACCAGCCTGGCCAACGCGGTGAAACCCCGTCTCTCCCAAAAAATACAAAAGTTAGCCGGGCGTGGTGGTGCACGCCTGTAATCCCAGCTACTCAGGAGCTGAGGCAGGAGAATCACTTGAACTCAGGAGGCGGAGGTCACAGTGAGCCAAGATTGCGCCACTGCACTCCAGTCTGGACAAGAGCAAAACTCCATAACAAAAAAAAAAAAAAAAAAAAAAAAAAGAAAATGACATAGAAGGAAAGACATAAGTGGTTGGCTAATACACCTTAGTGAACTATTTCAGAAGAAAATTCAGCACAATTCCAGCCTATAACTCCAAAAGCCTCAATTTCTTGCCTTGTTCCTGTCCCTTGATTTTTGTCCCCTCTTCTTTCATCGACAGAGCAGAAGGTCAACTGCCTCAGGTGTGTGCAGTCACTTACTGGCCCTGGAAATGTACATCCAGAACAGAATATTATCTTCCTGGCAGCCGTCCCATTCAGCCTGTGCATGGAGCTGTCCCAAGACCTGAGCCTTCTTAGTTTGGTGATGCTTCACTATGGCTTCAACTCTCCAACTTCTGCCCTCCAAGACCATAGTGATAAGAAAACAAAGATCAACTACCCCCGAGCTGGGAGGAGGACTCCTTTTTTCTCTGTACAGCCTTTTATATGTTTAACTTGCTTACCATGTAATATGGATAACCTATGAAAAAGATTTCACGTGTATACCTTTTTAAATCACTTACTCTACTTGTTTGTGAAGACAAAAATAAATTTAAAAAATGCCACAGACTTCTTGCAAGTTAAAGAAAAAAATTCAGCTTCCTGTGTAATAAGAAATATTGTAAGTCACACTCGTAGTCCGAGCTATTTGGGAAATTGTGGTGGGAGGAACACTTGAGCCCAGGAGTTCGAGACTGCAGTGAGCTATAATGGTGCCCACTGCACTCCCATCTGGGCAACAGAGCAAGGAATCATCTCTAAAAAATAATAAAAATAAAAATAATTTTAAAGATTAAAAAATATATTTAAAAGAAATATCACAAGTGAACTATAATTCATCCCAAAAGAGAATATGGATCTTTTCAAAGAGCAACATCAAAATGTCCAAGGCTAGTCATCATTTCTTTCTTGAGAACATTCATAAGCCACTGCTCACCCCTGGACTCCATTTTAAAAACAGATGCCACAGAGTTCTTCACTGCTTAGCCCATTCTCACATCACCAGTCCCCAAGCACGGACCTCACCCCTGGCCAGCCTTCCGGCATGCCAGGCCTCCTCCTCCCTCAAGCCCATGCGGAAGCAGGGAAGTGGGTCACACAGGGAGCCCATGCTATGGGTGGACGTACCCTGCCGACGAAAGTGGAAGGGCAGAGGTGGAGTGGTTTCTTCTTCCTTATTCCTTTATATTCTGTTAAGCTTTAGCAACTCTCTCAACTGACTCATGCATGGACTTGTTCTAGAAGAAACTGTTAGAGGCAGCAGAGGTCTGAAGGTGCTTTAGTTCCACCCCTAGATGAGAGTGACAGTCCCAGACACCCAGCAAGTTGGCATTAGAACCAGAGCTAGAACCCAGAGCTTGTCCCCAGCCAAGTTCTCTTTCATCTGCAATATCTGATTTCCCAGAATCATCCTTCATGGTGTGTTCTGGACCAATTTTTTGTCCAAAAACTAGACAAAAAGATAACTGTTTCATTTCTATTTCTACACTACAGCTCATACAATTTAAAGGAAGGACACTGCTGTAAGAACCATCCTCCATCACCAAAGAAAACTGGTTGAGTTCTTTTTATTTATTAAATAAGACTGGAAAGGGTCATTGTCTTGATCAGCGTTTCTATGCCTTGACACTGCTGACATTTTTGGTGGGATCATTCTTTGATGTGGGGACCATCCTATGCACTGCAAGATGTGTAGCAGCATCGCTGGCCTCCACCCACGAGGCACTGGTAGCATCTCCTCCCCTCCACTTGTGACAATCAAAAATGTCTTCTTTGGACATTGCCAATTGTCCCCTGAGGGGCAAGATGCCCCGGTTAAGAGTCACTGATCTACGGGAAACTCGATTATTTGGTTGTCATTGAAAATACTCAGCAAGCAAAAAATTGTTCACATTAGGGCTTTATAGACAAATAAATTGGAAAACTGAATCCAGGGCATTCCTCAACAGCCAGTGCCCAGAATAGCCTGAAAGGGGTCCTGGGGAGATAGGTGGGGGCTTCCGTAAACCCGAGGCATGGCAGTCCATGTGTATTATTGACCTTTCCAGGTGAAGGCAAAAGGATATTTGAGTCAGGGTTGAAAGCATACTGATAAAAGCAGAACATGGTCGGGCATGGTGGCTTATGCCTGTAATCCCAAGCACTTTGGGAGGCTGAGGCGGGTAGATCACCTGAGGTCAGGAGTTTGAGACCAGCCCAGCCAACAAGGTGAAACCCCATCTCTACTAAAAATAAAAAAAAAAAAAAAAAAAAAAAACAACCTAGCCTGCTGTGGTGGTATGTGCCTGTAATCCCAGCTACTCAGGAGGCTGAGGCAGGAAAGTTGCTTGAACCTGGGAGGTGGAGGTTGCAGTGAGCCAAGATCATGCCACTGCACTCCAGCCTGGGCAACAGAGCAAGACTCCATCTCAAAAAAAAAAAAAAATTTTTTTAGCAGAACATAAGTTGATGACTGTGAGATGAATAGTGTTGGGTGGAGAGAAGCCAGAATGGTGTTGGGGTCCTTAGAGAAAGCCTGGTATTGTCTATTTGAATAATTGCTTGTGAGCTTTGGACTAGTTGGTATCCCATTGAGCCTCTTTACTGAGAGGATGGGAGTATCACAGGAACCAGACATGGAGACTAGAAGAGCTTTGTGAAGGACACCTTGAATTATAAGTTGAAGATCTTGGAGAATTCTTGTCTTGAGGATATTATACTTGAGAGTAGCATGGAAGGTTCTATTTCTACGTTGAGAGGTTTGGCCTTCTTGATTTGGCCTGCGTCAGTTGAGTGACCAGCTCAAAGGCAGTCGGGTATTTTAGTTAGCATAGTTTGTGCTTGAGGTTTTAAAGGGGGATCAGGGATTTTGACAGAAACAAGAAAAGTGTGATGGTCAATAAGAGCCATGAAAGGGCAAAGATGCAAGGCTGGGAACCCAAGGACCTCAAGTGTGAGGCCCTCGGGGAGCAAAACTACTGACAGTCCAGTTGGAAAGTAACTCTTTCCAGAAGGTTTACTGGGTAGTGGAACTAAGAAGCTGTGCTGGGTGGGGAGGGTCCTAGTAAGACAGAAGGTTCTGTTAAAGGCAGCACATGGATGCTTATCAAGTCCCACCAACAGGCATGGCTTGTGTGCTCTTAGGGAGTGTGGCAAGAGGTGTTCATGGTGAGATGTGTTGCTCGGGGTCCATTAGGAAGGGAGGGGAGTGTCCATTGATGGGGAAGATTCTCTCCTGAGTTAGTGTGGACACAAAGGGGAACATACCCCTCCAAGAAAGTCGTTAAAAGATGGATTTTTAAACCCTTGCTCTCTTTTGTTTTAAAGCCAGCCAATCCCAAGCCAGCATTCTTTTTATTTGTATCTGCATGTGTGCCTAGCAAGTGGGGGTTTGGAGTAAGCAGATTGGCCTGGTTTGCTTCCTTCTGGTAAGTTGTGCAGCCGTCAGTTTGCACTGTGTTGATTTGGCCTTTTCTCTCATGGATTCTTCAGGGTGTTGGGCTAGTGTAACACTTTCAGAGAGAGAAGCGTTCTGCCTACTTACATTGGCTTTGGGGTAATATCTTTGATTTCTGATCAGAAGCCATTAACATAATTAATAAAAGCAAAAGTGGCTCAGTCATCAAATATAAGATCAGATCATATACTTTGTAGAGCTTTAGCAACTCTCGCAACTGACTCTCTGAAAATGTCCTTCCTAACATTTTCTAATCTATGTCTATATTGAGAGGCACATTCATCTCTGTGTTGTCTGCCGTCTTTTATCTTTGACCAATCAGTTTTCCAGGAGCCACAGTGGGAATGGATTCTAAAGTCTCTCCCCTATAGTTCTGGCCTGTATCAGGGTGTTCTGATTTCCTTGGAAGTCCTCATGAAGAGTAGCCCGTGTGGCTTTTCAAACCATAAGGTGGCATCTCTGGTACCCATTAACAGCTGCAAAAATTGATAAAGTTCAGGGAACCCAGGAGAATACGCCCCAAGGACAAAACCAAATGGATTAGTAAACTCTTCCCTGGTCTGTCTGAAAAGCCCTTCACAACTGCATATGGACCTGAGTGAGTCCTTATTCAATTCGGCCCTCGGGTCATGGGCCTTCTATCATGATGGGGAAGCACCAATACATCAGGATGAGGTAGGGAAGTAGGAGCAGGGAAGATTGGGGAGCAGGGGCTAAAGGAGGAAAAAAGTCCCTCAGACTAAGGAGGAATACTGGGTAGGGGGGAAAGCATCAGAGCAGGGCCCATAGAGGGGTGGGGCAGGGGGAGAAAGGGTTGAGAGGTTTTGTTAAGGGTGGAGGAGTGGGAGGAGAGATTGGTAGTGAGAGACGTGCTTAAGGGACTGCTCAGTTTGAAGTAGATTGGAGACATTTTCTCATGTTTCAGCCTCCTTGGACCAAGCAAAATAAGCTGACCTTTGAAGAGAACAGATCTTGAGGGGGATCTGTAGATGGACACAGGGAGATTCCAGGTGCCTCAGAGGGATCAACTTGCAGTTCCAAGTTGTCCTCAGGGAAATCTTGCCATTTTTTGGGATAATGAACTGAATTCTCATCACAGTGGAATACGTATCATCGGAAGGGATTTTTAAAGGGCAGGGTGAGAAGTGGATTGAGAATTTCGCATAGCACCAAGGTTAAACAGAAGCCAACTACGAAACAAAGCCAGAAGGGCACTCAAGCAAATAATCAAAATCAAATCCTTACCACGCTGCCAGGGACCGATATATCCAGAGCATGGGACCAGGAGCTGGACTCACGGTGGGATCTCTGATCAGTCACAGAAGGAGCTTGACGAGCTCATGGGGTCTCTCTCCCTAGGTGGAGAAGACAGGGCTCCAAATGGACTTCCAGTCCCATCCACGTCACAGAGGCAAATTGTCAGAGACAAAGACCTAAGCCGGTAAGCAAACTGACTTTATTCAGGTTATTATATTATAGTCGGGAGAGCACCCAGATCCCAAAACCTGAGTGTCCTGGCAGTTGGTTTTGTCTAGACTTTTATAGGGAGGAGTGAACCAGTTCCAGGTGGGGGTGATTTTACAGTTGGCATGTTTATGTCATCAGGAGGCATCTGTCAATCAGCTGGACAAGGAGTATCTAGCTGTTTCTAGCTTGTTTGGAGGGACAAATAGTTCAGCTAATCATTTAAGAAACAAAGAATGGTAATTTGGAGGGTCTCTGTGTCCTTATCACAGGAAACAAGGCAGTCACCCATGACTGTTACGGAAATCACAAGAACGAGTATACGGCATTTATGAATGGACCTACTGGTGTGCTAGTAGGGCTGCCATAACAAAGTACTGCACAGATGGGGCTTAACCAGAGATGCATCGTCTCACCATGCTGGAGGCTGGAAGTCCCAGGTCAACACATGGACAGGGCTGGTTTCTCCTCTGGCCTCTCCCCTCAGCCATCTTCTCCCTGTGTCCCCACATGGTCTTTCCTCCATGTGTCTGTGTCCTCATCTCCTCTACTTATGAGGACACCTGTCAGGTTGGATTAGGGCCCACCCTAGTGACTTCATTTTACCTTCATCACCTCTTTAAAGACCTCTTCAAATACGTTCACACTCTGAGTTACTGGGGGTTTGGACTCCAACATCTGAATTTTAAGAGGACACAACTCAGTCCGTGACAGCGGGTCTTCTCGAAGTCTCGTGGGGAAGAGTGGTTCTTTGCAGTAAGTCATTTCCTGGAACACAAAAGGGTGGGAGACATCTGACATACAAGTGTGGGCAATTGCCCTTGGCTGTTGTCCAGAGGCACAGGGCTCAGGTGCAGCCCTGCACTGTCACAGGGTCCCAAAGGAGGCCCCTTGGTTTGCTGTGCTCCACACTCCAAGCTTCCACGAGCTGATGGGGGAGGGGTGAGAAAGAACTCGCAAGGGAACCGAGACCTACTGAAAAAAGGAAGAAGTGAAGACGATGTCTACGGGGCTGAGGGATACAGGGGAAATGTGGTTTGAGGTTGACAGAGGGGAGGGGGAAAGAGCCACACGGCAGGAGGCTGGGCTGAGAGAGATTCTGAATGGTCTCCAGGAGGCACAGAATGTGAGAGACAGGTGAGGGAGGGAAGATTTCCCCCACAAATCTTCACCCTGTTAATACATGTGGGCTCAGCCCCACAGGAGTTGTTCGGTGAGCACACACATTACTGTTGAAGACTGGAATCTGATTTGTGCAACTCTGTGTTCAGCCCCTGCTAAGAAAGGCCTGGGAGCAGGGTGCATGAAAGGGTCTGCTTCATTCTGGGTGCCCAGCCACCAGCAGGGTACCACTCCTGCCAGACGCATGGGCAGGCAGCTCGCCTCGTTCCTGGACTGTGAGCTCCCTGAGCACCAGGAACGACCTACTGCTGCCTTACTGTTCCCTCTGCACACAGCAGAGGCTTGGATGGAAGGAATTCCTGGGTCCCTCTGAAAATGTTCAGGCATTAGTCACGTATGAATCAATCTAGACCTGTTTTTGCGTCCGATTATGTTTTCAACTTGCACCACCTCTTGGGGGCACTGATGTCATAATTCTTCCATTCCCCATGTGTCCTGACCAGGCAGGAGCTACGTGGCTGTCTGAACTCTTGTGGGTTTGTGATAAATGGGCGAGTGTTGAAAGAGAAAGGCAAACAAACTGCTTTCCCAAAGAAGTCGGGAGACGCCCTCGACAAGCCCTGGACAGAGCAGAGAATGGGCTCCGCCAGGAGCTGAGGAGAGCCTTGGGGAGGCTTCTGTATCCAGGGACCTCAGCCTTACTGCACCTACCCTACCAAGCAGTGCCCTGAGGACCTGAACTTAGCCCTGTGTGTGGACGTCTGTTGCAGAATGCGCCAAGTGCCCAGAAAAGAGACCAGGGAGACAAAGGCAGCAGGGTAGGATGGCAGAGGGGACACCTCCTCCATCCAGCCACCTCTGTCTGGTGCTTAGGCATCTGGGTGCCCCACACTTCCTGTGCTGCCCAAACAAGCACCAGCTCGGTTCTAAAGGGAAGTAAGACAACACGCACAGCAGAGGCCTGGAAACGGCCAGGGAAGGAGGAGAGGCCAAACGTTAGCATCTGAGTACTTTCTTTTTGGGAGGTGCTGTGAGGCGTGCAAAAGCGAACAGTAATGGCTCTCAGTAACCTCAGCAAATGCCAGCACTCAGCAGCCGCCCTTCCAGAGAGGGGTCGCTGGCAGCTGCAGCATCAAGCGGAGTTGCTGCATAGGATGCTTTTTATAGTGCTGTTTGTCTTCACGGTTCTCCAACAGATGAGCTGGAGGGTGGATGTTTTTAAGATCCATTTGTGTACCGTGAAAGCACATGGCCTGTCTTCCCAAGAGTTTCTGCATTTCCAACTTCTTAATCCACAATAGAAAAAAGTCTAGAAAAACTAATGCAGTTAGAGCAGGTTTTCCTCGTGCCAGTGTCCTCATATCCCACCCCCCCCCCCCCGCTAAAAATGACTCCCCAAGGAACTCCAGCAGAGTGTGGTATTGTCTCAAGATAAAAACAAAAGCAGTAGAGCCAGAGATGGGGCAGAAAAAGTGAGATGAGACATTTACTTCCTCAGGTCCTTTTCCAGGAGTAAATGACCATCGTGCGCCCATGGGAAGAGTGCTGCATCCACGGAGGACATGGGCCAACAGTGCTCTCAAATGGGTTTCATGAAAGCATCTGTGACTCATCCCTGTTCAAGAATGTTTTCATTACGATTCAGCAGAAGCGATGTGCCAGGTCAGCAAATACAACTGCAAAACCGGGGCCTGCCAGCCTGGCCAACACAGCAAGACCCCGTCTCTACTAAAAAGTAAAATTAAAATTAGCTGAGTATGGTGGTGCGTGGCTGCAGTCTCAGTTACTCAGGAGGCTAAGGTGGGAGGGTCACTTGAGTCCAGGAGGCCGGGGCTGCAGGGAGCCGTGATCGCACCACTGCACTCCAGCCTGACGCCGTCTCAAAAACAAAACAAAAAAAACCCAGGGCCTGAATGCAAAGTGAACACTTGCTCCTGTTAATCGTAGCACTTGCATTACAGGCCTGGTGGCTCCTAGCATCCGTCCGCAGCACAAGGCCATGTTGTGTAGTGGCACATCCCCAGTCCAGCCGCGGGGAGCTGCCTGCAAGGGGAGGTGGTGAGCAAACAGCTGCGCAGCAGCAGGGAAGCGTCATCTCCATCTCACTTCATGGCCCTCCCCAGCTGCTGCAGAGATGCTGGGGGTCCCTTCTACAGGCAGGCCTGTGTTCTAATGAGAGCCAGGAGACTGGCAAGATTAAGCAGAGTCCTCATGAGTGATCTGGAAAACCTCACTGCACTTTAAAACAGATCCCTAGATTCTGGGCTTCACCTCATTTAAAAAGGACATTGTGTATACTGTTTCAAGTAAATAAAATGAGAGAAAGAGGAAAGAAAAATAGTTTTCAAAAGCTATCCTTTAATTCCCTGAGAAGCACAGCTCTCGGAGTCTACAAAGGGTTTAATCTGTGCTGGTCGGTGGACAGAATAGTCCATGTGCTTGGCCCAGTGTCCTACTCTCTGAACATTCTAACTGCATGAGCACACTGGGCAGCTGCCTGGGACCCGGGGCTGGGGCTGTAGCCCTAACTTTGTGGCTAGTCCCTCCATATGACCAAGCTGAAAGGCATTAAGTGGATTAGGCCAGCTCCAAGCGACACGGAAGGTACTCTTCCTCTTCTGCAGAACAAGGCTCTCATTTTCAGCTTTAAGGATTTCCACTTCTGAAAATCAGGACTGTTGTTCTGGATCTCAGTGAGACAGCACCCAGCACACCCAGTGGACTTAGAGAACAGTCTCTTGCTGATAGTCTTTAAAAAAAAAAAAAAAAAAAAAAAAATAGGGACCATGGAGGCAGGCAGGCCAGGCTGCACCCATGGGTCAGAGGACTGGGAATTCCCAGGCGTCACTTGGCCTTTGACATCTGTTCATCTTTACAGGCCAAGATTCCAGCAGTCGGCCCATGATGACACAGACAGGGCTAGGGTAGGAGCCACGCATTAGAGCCACAGGGCTGCTCCTGAACCTCATTCTCCAACAGCTGCAACTCTGTCTCCTTAACACAAGCGGATGACAAAATGAATGCAGCTAGTTTGAATTCTGCTTACTCAACCTCTATGGAGTGAATGAGCAGTGAAACGCATGAGGTGGGCAACAATGAGCAACAGGCCCAGATAAAACACAAACGGAGTGAATATGCGGTGGCCTATGCTTTGCCAACCAGCAAGCATAACCACTTTATGCCACGGGTATGGAGTCTGTTTGGGATGGGCTGAAGGCTTCCTGATCCCTTCAGAAATGTGCAAAGGACCCCTCTCTCTGTGGTGAATGGACAGGCTCCAGGAGATCCCAAAGCTCACAGATTCCAGAAGTGAGGTCTAAAGTTCCCCTGGGGCGCAAGACACAAAATAAATTTATTATAGGGACCCCCCCAGGACCAGGCCCCATGGCTGGGGTGGAAGGCTTCCAGGGAGCTATCAGTACACTTCCATCCTGGAGTCAAGCCATTCACAAACAAATGCAGGAATGCAGAAGGGGGCTGGAGGTGAGAACAGAAAGGAGGCAGGCCAAGGGTCGGGGAAGAGCAACAGTGAAATAACGAGGTGATTTATACAATTTATTGTATATTTCAAGGTGGCTAGAAGAGAAGAATTGCAATGTTCCCAACAGAAAGGAAAGAAATGTTTGAGATGATGGATATCCCAATTATCCTGATTGACCATTGCATATTGTATAGAGGCATCAAAATACCATGTATACCTCCAAAATATGTACAACTGTTACATATCAATAAAATTTTAAAAATATAACTTTAGGCCGGGCACGGTGGCTCACACCTGTAATCCCAGCACTTTGGGAGGCCGAGGCGGGCGGATCACGAGGTCAGGAGATCGAGACCATCCCGGCTAAAACGGTGAAACCCCGTCTCTACTAAAAATACAAAAAATTAGCCGGGCGTAGTGGCGGGCGCCTGTAGTCCCAGCTACTTGGGAGGCTGAGGCAGGAGAATGGCGTGAACCCGGGAGGCGGAGCTTGCAGTGAGCCGAGATCCCGCCACTGCACTCCAGCCTGGGCGACAGAGCGAGACTCCGTCTCAAAAAAAAAAAAAAAAAATATATATATATATATATATATAACTTTAAAAAAGAACTTTGTGATTTAACACTGAAACGAAGACAGACTAGTTTATATCTGTTATGTAAAATTCATTCACTCATTCTGCAAGTTTCTTCAAAAATTTCAAGTTCCATATCTACATACCTACCGTAGAGGAAAAGGGCTCCTAGGGAGACCAAGAAAACACAGTTGGTCACTGTATTCTAAGCTGTGACTTCTAGTCACTGCAACGTACTTTTCATTGACTGATGAGAATAAACATTCAAATGGACATTCAGAAAACTGTTCCTGCCGGGTACAGTGGCTCACGCCTGTAATCCCAGCACTTTGGGAGGCCAAGGAGGGCAGATCACTTGAGGTCAGGAGTTTGAGACCAGCCTGACCAACATGATGAAACCCCATCTCTACTTAAATACAAAAATTAGCTGGGCATGGTGGCAGCAGGCATCTGTAATCCCAGCTACTTGGGAGGCTGAGGCAGCAGAATCACTTGAATCCAGGAGGTGGAAGCTGCAGTGAGCCGAGATCACGCCACTGCACTCCAGCCTGGGAGATAGAGTGAGACTCCCTCTCAAACAATATTAAAATTAAAATTAAGAAAACTGTTCCTGGTCCTCTTGTTGTCGCGTTAAGAAACCCAGTCTCATCAGAAGATGCTCCCCCTCTGAACCCCATGCTTCGAAGGCCCTCCTTCAGAGCTGGCCGAGTATCAGCTCTGGAATTCTTGCTGGGTTCAGCGTTTCCTTTGTCTCTTGGGCCAGTCTTCAGGTTCCGACAAGTGGGTGAATTTTCCCTAAATTTTCATGTAACACAAAAGGAACTTCTGTGCTAAAGAACTTTGTGGGGGGTGTGGTTTCTTGCTTGTGGCTTGGGTCCTGTCACTTATGTCCCTCTGCTGAGCTGTGCTAGAGGAAGGATTGAGAACCCCTGCTACAGTCACAAGCCTGGAGGAGACGTGGGTGAGCAGAGGTGCCCCGGGGCCCCACTCAGGACACCTGAGTGCCAACACCAGACCTGCTACCCTGGGCTCTTGTGCCTCATTCCCATCACTGTGGGGAAATACAAAAGGGCAAGGGGTAGGGGCACAGCTTGGTCTAGGATCAGGATTTCTCAAACTCAGAACTACTGATATCTTCGGACAGAAGATTCTTTGTTGCAGGGATTGTCCTGTGCATTGTAGGATGTTTAGCAACATCTGTGGCCTCTACTCTCCTACAGTTATGAGAATCAAAAATGCCTACAGACATTGCTACATGTCCCCCAAATGGGGCACCCAGCCCCCAGTTGAGACTCCTGGTATAGACCTACGCTGTGTAATCCAGAAGCCACATGTAGTCATTAAGCATGTGACTAGTCCAAATTGAGATGTGCTTTAAGTATAAATGTACACTGGATTTCAAACATTAAAGAACAAAAGAATGTAAAGTAACCATGAATATTAATATATTACATTTCGTTTTATATCATTTGTTATAATACTATTTTTTCATACATCAAGTAGATTAAAATGTATTAATTTATTTCTTTTTTTTTTTTTTTAAGCTTTTGATAATGTGGCTACTTAAAACAACTGAAATAACACATGTGGTCCCATTGTGGCCACATTAGATTTCTACTGGCCAGCGTGGGACTAGACTCAGGCTAAGGTCCTCCCAACTCAGGTAAGTCCCAATTCTGTGAGTTACTACTGCAGGAATAAGAAATCATTTTCCAGCACTATCTGCAGATAGCTGAGGCGTAACAGAGTGTGGACACAGAATCCCATCAGAACATTTCCCAAGTGTTTGAAACTCTCTCTTCCATAGTAAACTAAGCAAAACCTGCAGCATCAGCGTTTAGAGGCTACACCCTACTCCATCCCACAGAGGAAGCAGCCCCAACTGTCAACATCCTGTTCTGGCAAGCCCAGGGATGCAATAGGCCCTGGAAAACCCCATGCAGAGGCCCGGGGAAGCCAGTCTCACTGTGGAAACTTTCCACTCCTAGCTACCCATAAGTAAGAGAGCCTGGGACCTGTACTTCTCTAGCCAGGAGAGCCAGCTTCTCATGGGAACTGGTGGAGTGCTTCATGATTTACTATCTTTCCACACACATCACCCTTTCTTCATTCCTGCAACTGTCATGCAGCTGTGAACTAAGATGTCTCCATTTTATATGTGGCCAGTAGAAATTTTGCTCCAGAAACTCAATCACAAGAAATATTCATTTCTTTTTTTTTCTTTGAGAAAGTTTTGCTCTTGTTGCCCTGGCTGCAGTGCAATGGCATGATCTCAGCTCACTGCAACCTCCACCTCCCAGGTTCAAGCGATTCTCCTCCCTCAGCCTCCCCAGTAGCTGGGATTACAGGCACCCGCCACCATGCCTGGCTAATTTTTGTATTTTTAATAGAGACGGGGTTTCACCACGTTGGCCAGGCTGGTCTCGAACTCCTAAACTCACCCGATCTGCCCGCCTTGGCCTCCCAAAGTGCTGGGATTATTGCCAGTGGGCCACTGGCCCCCTGTGCCTGGCCCATTTCTTCATATTGATTGAATTAAATGAATTCTAAGCCCAGATGCCACTAGAGTGGTCAGAAATTCAACCTCAGCCCTTTCTCCACTGTCCTGTCTCATCCCAGCTCCTAAAGTTGTTCCAAAGGCAAAGGTCCATGACTGTGAGCAAAGGAGAACATGCATGGTGGCTTCTCTGGTTTTCCTCCCTGGTCATCCTTACTAGATCATTGTCTTGGCCCACCTGGTACCTTAAAGAGATCTGTGTGCTGCTCACAGGATGCACCACCCCTTTCCGAGGCTTGGCCACCTCTGGGAGCTGTGACTGACAATCCAGGACTCGAGTTCCTAGCGACCCCCCTGAATTCCCAACCCGACTCTCCCCTAGCCACGGAAAGCAACCTGTCTTGTCTCTGCTGGGCAGCTAGCTCTCCTTGAAAACCAAACCAAACCAAACCAAAAGCACCAGCCCTCAATGGCCTTGTCCTCTCACCCCCCCATCCTTAGGCACGAGCTAGCGTGATCTCCTGTATGACTTTAAGCTTTCAAAATAAAATCCATGAGGGAAAATCTGCTTAAGTCCTACATCACAAACCTCCTAAGCAAGATGAGGAGCTCGAAGGCTGGGCAGCTTTCTGGGAATGGAGGCATGAAAGACCACAACAGACGAGACAACTTAAGATCTCTGTAAATGATGCTTTTTTCACCAATGGAGACACCAGGGCTCTGCAAGGTCAAATGACCTGCTCAAGATTACGTTCTGTTAAGAGTCAGAGGAGGGACTGAAACCCAGGACCCCTGACTCCACCTAAACATATCATGAGCAGCTCCTATTCCATGCTCCATCCTGAAATCACCAAAGAGCATAGAAAGAATTCTGTCCGCTCCGCTCCACTGTAAGCTGATGGCTTAGGGAGATTCCCAAGGCCCTTCATTTCTAGTCCTAGAAGCTCCTTCCTCAGAGGAAATGCTCTGTTCCCCACAACCATGTTAGGGGCACACTTCTCTGACCCCCTGGAACATAGCTGGACCTTGCTGGAACATTTCAACAAGACCTTGTTAAAGAGGTGATATTGACACATTACTAAACTAGATATTGATTTACAAGAAATGTTTTTCACAACATCTACAAAAATGTTAAAAAAAAAAAAAAAAAGTATTCAGAGAAACCCACAGGAGCTTCAGAGGTTCTGCAGAGAGGTAATTCCAACTGCACTGATTTCCACTGCATGGTTTTGGATGGAGGAGTTCATTGGAAAAGCCAGTTTAGAGGTGGTGTGAAATGTAGGGTGATCTTAACAGATGGAGTGCTTCTCAGCCAGGATAACTAAAGGGCTGATCGAAGTACTCTATCATAAAATTATAAAAGGAGCCCTAAAATTAAAAAGCATCCTGGCCATACTAGTAGGCCCAATTGGAGGACTCTGCAGGAATTGTCACATGGAATGTGGAGTTTATTAGAGCACCAGAAACAGAGCTGAGGCTTGATGTCCCCACAGGAGACGAGAATCACAGGACCTGATGTAACGTCTAGAAAATGCGTTTAGCAAAGGTTTCTGTTGAACTTTAAAAAAGAAATGTTCTACTCTACTCAATAAGCTTACCACATGCTGCACGGCTAATGACAGAACTGGAAGGATCTACCTATAAAAAAAGCATGGCTTAATAAGACATGGGAATATAAAGCACACACACAAACAAAAATCAAGTAATTATAACTCCTTAGAACACTAGGATGCTTGTTGCAAATGACAAAGTTTGAGTTTCACAGACACGAAGTTGAACCAAAAATCCAGACACAAGAGTACACACTCAATGATTCCATGAATATAAAGTTAAAAACCAACAAGACCAGCTGTGAGTAACCAGTATAGCAGTTCTTCAAACAATTAAAAATGGAATCGTCATATAATCCAGCAATTCCACTTCCGGGTACATTCCCAAAAGAATTTAAAGCAGGGCCTCAAAGACATCTTTATACATCCGTGTGCAAAACGGCATTATGTACAATAGCTGAAGGATGGAGGCAACTCAAGCGTCCATCAACAACAGATAGATGAGTAAACAAAATGTGTTGTATCCACACAATGAAATACATTCAGCCTTAAAAAAGAAGGAGATTCTGATATACGCTGCAGCATGGATGAACCTTGTGAACATCAAGCTCAGTGAAACAAGCCAGACACACAAGGATGAATGCTTTATGATTCCACTTGCATGAAGTACATAGAGGAGTACTGTCCATAGAGACAGAAGGTAGAAGAATGGTTGCCAAAGGCTGGGAGCAGGGGAAATGGGGAGTTGTTTAAGGTATATGGAGTTTCAGTTTTGCAAAATAAAGAATTCTGGAGGCAGATGGTGTTGATGGTGGCACAACAATGAATATGTTGAAATGTCACTGAACTGTATATTTAAAAATGGTTAAGATAGTAAATTTTATGTTGTATTTTACCACAATTAGTTTCTTTTAACCAAAGGGAGGAAATACAGGCAAACTAAGCTATGGAAAGGATGAGGGCTGGTCCTGGAGAAGTGGTCAAGGTGTGTACCCGGGAGCTGGTCGTGTTCTATAGTTTAATGGGAGTGCTGGTTATGTAAGCCTTTTGAGTTTTTGAACTTTTATCAACCAAATATTTAGAATTTTGCCAGTTTTCTCTATGAGTGTTGTGGTTTAATTAAAAGTCTTAGTTTATAGGAACAAAAAAATACCTATACAAGAAAGGTCATAAGGATGAAAGAATCTAAATTCTAGAGTGATATACTACACTACTAACTTCTGCTCATATTTTGTCCCATAATAGCTTCTGGAGCTCCCAAGTTTAAAAGCAACTTTTTATTGCCACTTTGGTTAATGGGCAAGAACCACCACCCCAAGAGTCTATTTTTGTTTTTAAGAAACTTTCTCCTAGGAGTCCCTCCCACAAGGCTGCTCAGCACAGTCCAGGCTCAGTCAAGCACTTCGAGTACAAAACAACTTGAGTGCGTGGAGATCTCACTGTGTGAGCTTTGTAGGGATTAGGTAAATCACAGGTGCACCCTTACCTGAACCAGCCAGCAGCTTATTCATTAATCAAGTGCTTAACAAGCTGTTGCTCCAAGTTCCCCTCTCAGCCTGGCAGACTGGTGTCTTTGGACTGATTCCCAGTTTGGGGCCCCCTCAGCTCCCCTTTTCCACTCTGCCAAAACTTCTCCCTGCAGGTCCTGTCCTATTCTCTTCTCTGCTATATTCCCCATGCAGAGTTGGCCTCTTGGGTTTCTCCTATGTTTCTCCAGCTTTCTGACTCCTGCCCAGAGGCTGCTCTTAAGACTCAGGTTGTGATCTGAACCAGTTTCTCCACAAGGAGTCCCAGGTCTGTCCTCTCTGAACCATTGTCTTTCTTTGCAAAGCTTTTCTACTTGGATCCTATATCCCCTTCCCGCACCTGCCCATGGTCCAAATGCGGCACAGAACTCACCAAAACCAGCTCTACATGTCATTCCCATCTGCTCAAGCCTTAATACTGACTTCTTCCAATAGAATAAGCCCTGCATCCAAACAATCTAATGCTCACATTTTCATTTTACCAGGGAGGAAACAGGCTTGGAGAAGTAACTTGCCTGTGAGCCTATAAAAGTGGCAAAGCTGGCCGGGTGTGGTGGCTCACGCTTGTAATCTCAGTACTTTGAGAGGCCAGGGTGGGAGGATTGCTTGAGCCCGGGAGTTGGAGACCAGTTTGGGCAACAAAATGAGACTTCACTACAAATAATTTTTTGAAAATTAGCTGGGTGTGGCAATGCACCTATGGTCCCAGCTACACGGGAGGCTGAGGTGGGAGAATCACTTCAGCTCAGGCAGTCCAGGCAATATTGAGCTGTGATCACGCCACTGCACTCCAGCCTGGGTGACAGAGCAACACCCGATCTCAAAAAAAAAAAAAAAAAAAAAAAAAAAAAAAGAGGTGGGGGGCAAAGCCACAATGCAAGGGTTACCTGAATTTGGTGGGCTGCCTATTGCACGGGGTAGGGTATATTCAGAGCCTCGTCTACTTTCTGCTGAGCTGAAGTCCTACTGTTGGGTACCATTTTCCCCAGGACCCCACGGCATTCAGATCTTGCCGGCTTCCTCCAGCCACTGCTAGAAGAACATTAGCAGCGAATCATGGAATGTCAGGGATTCAAAGTAGAGGCCCTCTGGTTACATCCTTTTGTTTTAAACATCACATATAAGCCCAGGGCCCTCTGTTTACTTTTGATTTTACCCAAATAGAACCAACTAGGGAGCAGATGTGTGCAGCTCAGCAGGAATCCAGCTTTGGGGAAATACTGAGGTCTCCAGACTTGGGACTGGCTTTGTGTGAAATGCTTGGTTAGGGGAAAGGGGCTCCCTGCTGAACAAGACTGGAAAAACATCTCCCAAAGGCACCTTGTGGCATCTGTAAGCTGTGGGTTGCAGGGGTGCTCATAAAACAAAACTCAAGATAGAAAATACACATATTTCAGACCCAGCTCTGTCCCCTTGAAGCCAGCACTAACAGCCAGCTTGACCCTTTTTCCTGACAATCCCTTACAATGTGGGAGCCAGGGTTCCCACAGGGCCTGAAGAGGACATGCCCGGGGCTCCTATAGCCTTAGAGAGCTGCTCACACGATCTGGGGCTGGATGAGCACCATCAGGCTTATGGAGAGAGACTAGGCCAAAAGTTCAGGCCAGTTCTGTTGAAAGAGAGAACACTTTAAAAAAAAAAATTGTGTTTCTTCAGAATTTGCTCAGGATTATCAGAAAAGAGAGAAGGAAAAAAAAAAACTTTCATCCTCTACAGTTGAGCAGGGAAGGGATGGGGAAAGACTCATTTCCTAATGACAGCCTTTTGTAACTGAAGATCTAAATAAGGTAAAAAATAAAAATGCTTCTCCATTTCTACAAGAAGTGGCCAGCCAGGAAAGGGACTTCTTGTCTAACCCTCCTGTGAAAATGAGGCTCATTCAGTCAGATTTCAACCCAGCCTTCTCCACTTTCTGCCTCCATCACCCTTCCGGGGGCAGAATTTAGCAGTGGTCTGCCACCCCGAGCAGCCGCTCCCACAGGAACTGCCTCATTAAGCTCTGTGACCAGTAACTCCCAACTTAGGAAAAGCTCAAGAAGGACCACTCTGCTTTGTTTGCACTTTTCCAAGAACCCTTACTACATAAAACGTTCTAAACTTGGGAACACTAACTTTTGCACTGTTTCCCACCGAGCCACAGAGCTCGCACCAGCATCACGCTCTCCCTTTGCCAGGATCTGAGCTCGCTGGAGGAAAATACAAGTTCCTCTTTCAGCTTCTTTCCTTCACTTCTGGAGACAAGCTTTCCAGCTACCAAAACAGAACGTTTCCCAGGTTTTCCTCCCACACCTATGAACTTTGTTCCTTGATTAAATCCTAGTTTCCCCTCTAAACAGAACTGGACTATGTCCAACCAATGTCTTCAGTTTCTGCAAACATTAACTCTGATGTTTTTTTTCAAGAGGTTTGTGTTCGGCTTTTGAGTAGGTTCCGGAGGCTGCCAGTGGAAAGTCTGAGGGGGGTATCAGCAGCATTTTACCCCATCCCCCGCATCCCCTCTGGCCAGCAGGACAGGAAAAGGAAGCCTGTTTGCGTGCACGAGCCTGCTGACCGGCCTTTGCCATGCGCTGTGCTTTCCTTTGTAGACACAGAGGGACTGCGAGGGAGGATGAGCAACTCCTTCCTAAGCTGGTAGGGTACATGGCTCCAAGAAACGCTCCTGGTCTGGAGTGGAATGTAGGACCGTTCTCCTCTCACAGCCAGCCACACAAAGCTACCTGTCTTCGGACATCTTTCCCCGACGCTTGAGCAGGCTGCAGGGAAAGGGGCCCGCTTACCCGGAGGAAGGAAACCCTCCGCAGACCCTCCAGGAAGGCAGGCCTGGGGCGCCCCTTCCCCGGGGAGCCTGGAAACCCACAAGGCAGGAGCCATTAGAGGGCAGCACGTGCCTGTCTCATAACACTGAGCAGACTCGTCTTTTTTTTTTCTTCTTCCAATTACAGGGTGTTTCAAAAAGCAAAAGTACCGTGGCTCCAGCGTCAGCAGAAAAACAAGTTAGAAAGACAGGCAGGGGAGGGGGCGATCCCTCCAACTCCAAAGCTGTGCCAGGGAGACACCGCTCTTGGGGAAGTTGGGCTGCAGCCCCCGCACGTGCTAGGAAGATAAGTGAAGGTCCCAACACATCCTGTCCCCTTAGAGCCCCTGGGGCCCAGCAGCCGGGCCCAGCAGCCCGACCCAGCGCCTAGAGCCCATTCGCAGACAGCGCGCTGAGGCGGCTTGGGCGCCATGCCCTTTGGGTTACTCAGCTCTTCAGCCTCCTGGAACGCTAGGACAAAGGAGTGCCTTGGTGCTGGCAGAAGCCGGGGGGCACAGCTGGGTTTTACAAGGAAGGACGAAATCTCATCTCAGCAATCGGGATAGATCAACCGTTGCCCGTCTGAGGTGACCCAATTCAGGGACCAGCCGCTTGGCTCTGAACACACACGTGTCACAACCCCAGCTCGTACCCAGGCCTTGCTAGAGGTAAGAACGTGGCATCCCTCCCTGGGACCAACTCGAGCGCCACTTGGGCGTCCCCTGCCAGGACCGCTCTGCATTGCAAAGGGCCCCTGGGGCGTTCAGGATTGGCCTCTGCCCCTCCTCCCACTGCACCATTCTCTTCTTCCCACCGCACATCTCTTCCTAATTCACCAAGGGGTTCCACCCCAAGGAAGAACTCCTTCGTGCTGGAAAAAGCCTGGGGCAGCACGGTGGGCCTCCCCCTCCATCTGGGTCACCAGAGGCAGGGAGGGAGGAGGCTTGTGTAATCTTACTATTCATTTCTCCGTGCAAGCTCCTCGGGACAGGCCTGAATTCATGATACCATCTCATTGGAAGACCTTTGCCCCCAAAGGGCCTGGGCAGATTGAAGCGTCTAGCAGAGGTGAGGGGTGACAGGTGACCAAACCCCAGCCCTGAGGTCTCACCACCTGCTCACAAGCCCAGAGCTGGGGTGGTGGGGTTCTCACTGCCTTCTCCCCATCCCCCTTCTCATTGCATTTCCTTTCCCCCACTCTGGCCTCGGAACCCAGGCGGCCAGTCCTTAGCCAGTCCCTTCTCGCTGTTGTCCAATCTGTCACTGTGCCTGACTATTCTTTAGGAAGTGGTTACTGTTTGTTGCACACCATTCACAAACACTTCATTTTCAGATCCTGCCCTCTGCACACTACGTGCTAGGACCTTGGCAGGCCCCGTGAGTGGCCAAGTTCCGTACTCTTGGTCATCAGCATCTGATCTGCCTCTGGAACTCCTCTTTCTCCTTCCTTGTTCAATTCAGCGGTTTCAGTTGACAAAGACCAGGGAGCCTCTAACCCCGGGGGCGTACTAACCATAGAAATATCACTCAGTCTAGCATAGAGTGCGCCTATAACTGAATGGGGAACTTCACTGATAGTGCTTCCAGTTTCCAATAGCATTAGGCTAGGTATTTGGACTACATTTCCCACTGACAACCATTTAAAAGCTGGATAAGATATAAAACAACTCAATCTTTCTGTTGAAATTGTCAAATAGTAAGAAGTAATACTGGCTGTTGATCCAGGGAATCATGAGGGACTGAGTCAGTCCTCTCTAATCCTATAGGCATCAGAAAAAATCATGGGTACAGTAATTCCAAAGTCAAACTGACAGGTAGTTTTCATGAAATTTTCCTAGTAAATTATCCCAAAGAACTAATAAGCTGGACAAAAATTATATTGCATGAATATTTATACAATATCTTTTCTGGTAGACTAATTCCACCTAGTTGACAGCTCTGTTAGATTCCTTTGGGGGCCCTCTTGTCTGCCTTGCAGCTGTGCCATTCCTATACAAAGTGCAGAAAGCACCTGCCCTTGTTTGCAGCCATAAT